>NC_000007.14:146882622-147034137 GCF_000001405.40 Homo sapiens | reverse complement strand
ATGGTATAAAAAGAGAGGAATCCTTGGTTCCAGGAAGTCCCCACTCCTTTTCTAGAAAATTCATGAATTACCTGGCCCTTATTTAGCATATAATTAAGGAGTAGCTATAAATATAGCTAGCCAGCAATCTACAAGTGCTACTCTGCATATGTCCTGCTCTGTCTATGGAGCAGCCGTTTTTCCCTACTCTGTTACTCTAATAAACTTGCTTTGCTTGCACTTTATTCTGTTGGTGTACTCTTGAGTTCTTTCCTGTATGAAGCCAATAACTCTCCTGGCTAAGCCCCAATTTGGGAGTTTGCCTGTATCAAGAGCATCCTGTGTTTTTTTTTTTTTTTTCCCCTCTTCACTCAATTGTGATTACTTCATTATGTTTTTGATTAACTCCCTAACTGATTCAGAAGTATGTAAGTCAGCTGTGAGGTTTCAGACCATACCTCTTTGGTCCCTGTGTATCTGATGACCACAGTGTTCAGTGGTCAATAAATGTGCTTAAGTAAATGAATATAAATGTGCATTTCCAAATTCCCATCTATCTACATTTCATAGGTCTTGTTATTTCTGGATGTACAAAAACCAGTTCTATTACCATTGGTAGTTAAAAACCATATATTTGATAATATCTTACAGGAAAAAAAATAGAGCATGCTAGACTGACTCAAAAAGACACCAGGGTAATGTGTAAGGGTTTCCTAGTTGTAGGGGGATGTCGTTATAATTATGTAATGTGGCTAGATGTCAGAGATCATGGGATAAAAAGAAAACAATCATGGAAAAATCTTGAGAGAACTGCCAGGAGAGATGTAAAAATTAACCCCCCACCCCAATCAAATTTAGCTTGTTCACTTGGGTAATTCACTTGAACTATGCTAAAAATACACTCTTTTTTATTGCAAAATCATGTCAAACATTGTGAGACATGCCAACATATTCCATATATATATATATATATATATATATATATATATATATATATACATATATATATATGCAGCAATATCCTCTCTAGACCCTACTGCTCTTTACCCAAATAAATACATCTTGTCTTCTTAATGTTGTCAATGTTGTGAAAGCATTTTAGAATAATCGTACTAGAAGCATTAAGAACAGCATTATTTTGCAAGCAATAATTTGACTTTGAAAATTAATAAAGTAAAATCTTAAAAATCTGATTCTTGATTCCTTCTCTTTATTCTTTAGGGGCATCACATGATGATGGTATTCAATAGGTTTCCTTCTTTGTGATCATTTGTTCTCAGCCTACTCAACAAGTGGACTGTCTTTTTAATGGCTTTATTGCCTCCCATAGTTTATTTATCTCCAGTCTAAGTCACTGGCAGAAGAACCATCAATTCTTTTCTTACTCTCTGACTCCCTCTTCTTCCTTCTCTCCAACTTCCTTCCTTTTTCTCTCTCCTTTTTTTCTCTCTTTCTTTCCTTCCTTCCATCTTTCTTTTCTTCTTTATTTCCTTCCTCCCCTCCTTTCTTGTTTCCTTCTTTCCAGCGTTTTACTATAATACATGATTGATTTTTGCCCACATCACATTTCAGTATAGAAAGAAAAGGACAGAGGAGCACTGTTCCACATAGTCATTCAGGGATCCGGGCTCACTTCATTTGGTTTTTGTCATCAACATCTGATTCTCAAGTCCACCACAGAAACAGAAGACAAACATATAGGAATGAACTTAGGATTTATGGCCAGATTTGATGAAGAAAATATCACTTCTGCATACATTCCATTGGTCATGTATCATATTGATCTTAACCTTAGTGTCCAAGAGACTGGAATATGTGCCACAGAAGGAAAGTGAAACAGATTTGATAAATGCATAGTGGGGTTACTTGATGCTCATTCTGAAATTCTGTGCTTACCTATATCATAATACATTTTATAATGAATAGTAAAATTATAATGTTTACTATTTGATCTCTCAGTGAAACTGCAGACTGTTCAGGGAGCAATACGTCATTTTTTTAAAAAGAATGATAATAATTTTTAATACAGTAAACTGAAAACCAGTGAATAGTTTGATTAGTTTTGAGAAATGTGATCACTCACGTGACCCTCACTCCCTATCAAGATATAGAACATTTTATTATCCCAGAAATTAGTCTCATCAATCCCCTCAGTCAATATTCTTTTCAATTAATGCCACTCCTCACCGTGTGTATACACTTTTCTGATTTCTATAACCATAGTTAATTTTGCCTTTTGTTTTGACAGAGTCTTTTTCTGTTGTCCGGGCTGGAATGCAGTGGCATGGTCTCAACTCACAGAAACCTCCATCTCCCAGGTTCAAGTGATTCTTCCACCTCAGCCTCCTGAGTAGCTGGGACTACAGGCACAGGCCACCACGCCCGGCTAATTTTTGTATTTTTAGTAGAGATGAGGTTTCACCACATTGCCCAGGCTGGTCTGGAACTCCTGACCTCAAGTGATCTGCCCAGCTTGGCCTCCCAAAGTGCTGGGATTACAGGCATGGGCCTCTGCACCCAGCCAATTGTGACTTTTCTTGAACTTCATAATAAAGTAATCAAACATCACTGGCTTCTTTCACTCAGAACAATTTTGTTAAGATTCCCTCATATCGTTATTATCAGTAGCACATTTCTATTTTTCTGTGTACTATTTCATTGTCTAAGTTTACTATAACCTGTACCCATTTTTGTATTGATAGATACTGGGATGTTTCCAGGTTTTTTTACTATTACAAATAAAATTGCTGTGAGCATTTGTTACAAATGCCTAGGAGAAGAATTTCTGGATTATATAATGGATGCATATTTGAATTTCTAAGATATTGACAAATAAATTTTTTCAGATGATAATCTAATATAGCATCAGAAATCTATTTTAAATTTTACTCAAATATATTATTTTTCTTTCCAAACCTCCTATAATTTTTTCTTTATCCTTCATGTCAAGCCATAAGAAAGGATGAAAATAATTAGATAAATGCTATCCATTTTGTGATATGTTAAATAAATATTTAGACAAACAGAAATACAAATCTAACATTATCAATCTTGGCAATGTTAAAATACAACCTAAGAAGCAGAGGTTTGGAGGTAGAAATGGATACGAAAATGTAGAAGAAATAATGTGGTAAATAATATACTCATCTTCCAAGTGAAGAGTCAAATTATATTACCAAAATTTGACAGAAGAGTAGACCTATTTGTAAGTATATTATTAAATGTAATAAAATTAACCAATAGAGAATTAAAAATATCTATTATATATATTTTTTGAGGCAGGGTCTTGCGCTGTAGCCCAGGCTGAAGTGCAGTGGTGTAATCACAGCTCACTGCAGCCTCAAACCCCTGGGCTCAAGCAATCCTCCCACCTTGGCCTCTTAAAGTGCTAGGATTACAGACATGAATCATCATGCCTGGCCTTAATATAACTTCTAAAAGTAGTCAGATGTGTGGAAAAGTAAGTCAGCTAACTAGTAATTGACCCAAGAAGTCATTAACCAATAGGCAAATTCTACATTTATAAGCGAACAAATTGATATAAAAGTATAAAGGGAGAGTGGAACAGGAAATAAGAAGATATTGGGGAAAAAGAACTTTACCGTTAAATGAACTTATTTCTCTACAAATTGATTAAAAATACTTATCTATGTACTAGCTTGATAAAAATATGAAAAACCAAAAACAATTGTTGCATAGGAGGGTGTCTAAAAATTTGGCTTTAAAATTTCTGGCATATCACATAAATGCAGACAGAATTAGTTTCAAGGCTCATCTTAAATAAAATCTAACCAGTTGCTTGCAGAAGCATAATACTCAAGGTACTGAGCCCAGAAAGAAACTTCCCAAATCCTCACATAAAAGAAACTATGCTACATAAAGAATGAAGTGTTCAAGAAAATCCATATAAAAACAGCAACAAATTTCATAGGAAATACATTACAGTTTTCCTCAATGTAGCCCCATGGAAAAATGCCAAACCTCAGCTCAGTAAACACAAATTTATAGCAGTAACCAACACTTTTGATGCAGATAGATATTCAGCTCCCTACTGACAAGCTTACTCTAGAAATTGTTTACAGTATCTAGAAGAACAGATAGATTATACTGCCCTCAGGTTACCCTCCAAAACCATTGCTTTTCGCAGGTATTTGTTAAGTATTAATGGCAGCAAATATGATGATATACTCTTTGGAAAGTACTTGGGATAAAATATTTTTCTGAATGTGGAACCAAGAGCTTTTTATAAGCATACAATCAACAAAATTATCAAGTTTTAGTTAATGTGAGAATTATTTGTGATAGCAAGGTAAATTACCATCTTTCAATTTTATCTTTTTCAAAATGTGAAATTCTTTAGTTGGATAAATTTATGCCATGAAATATTAATAATTCTAATACTAAATGTAATGTCTGATTTGAGCATTAACAATTTTACTCTTCCTCAATTTCATATGCTTCCATTTTTATTATCTATTGGATGATTAATACCAGGTAATGTTTCTTCAAAATATAGAAGAGCTAAAATAAGTGACAATTCTTGGGTCTACAGAAGCCATTTTTTCCAATATATTTGGATTTCATCTTTCCTGGGAAGAAAAAAAAAAAACCCTTTTTACATTATGTTTCTCCATTTGTACTGTCTGGTTTTCTATTCCCTTTCACTGCAAAACTTCTCTAATAGATGGTGTTTGCTCAGTTTTTCCCTCCTCTTCCATGCTCTCTTAAACTTTAGCAATTTGTTCGTTGCTGTTTCTTCTTTCAAATCAAATCAGAAAAATCACTGATGATAATGAGGTAACTGATGATAATGAAATAATCTTTTTTAAAATTCTTCTTGAATATCTCCCTTAGTCATCTTCTCCTGGAATCTTTCTCACTCAAGAATGTATCTTAGGCCCGGCGCAGTGGCTCACGCCTGTAATTCCAGCACTTTGGGAGGCCGAGGCGGGTGGATCATGAGGTCAGGAGATGGAGACCATCCTGGCTAACATGGTGAAATCCCGTCTCTACTAAAAATACAAAAAATTAGCTGGGCGTGGTGGCGGGTGCCTGTGGTCCCAGCTACTCGCGAGGCTGAGACGGGAGAATGGCGTGAACCCGAGAGGCGGAGCTTGCAGTGAGCCGAGATCGCACCACTGCCCTCCAGCCTGGGCGACAGAGCGAGACTCCGTCTCAAAAAAAAAAAAAAAAAAAAAAGAACATATCTTATTTTGCATATGTCTATTTGATCTGTGATTGCTTCTCCTTTATCTTCATTGGATTTTTCTTCTTCTTCTATGGATTATTAAAGGTCATGCTGTTCTCGCTACTTTCTCACAAGTGACATCATCTGCTTTTTTGTCTTCAAATGTAAGTTCAACAGGAATATTTTGCTTATTCCTGTTATTTTGTTATTATCTGTTTCCTTCACTACCTAGATTTATTTTCTGACCTCCTGAGAGCCTGGTAGCTTTATGCATAATCAGTCTAATCTAGAAATATCTCAAATGTGTATTTACTGACAAACGGATTAATAAAGTGTGGTCTAGCCACAGTCTACTACCCAACTGGCCTTCTTCTACAGTCTAACAGGGGACAAATCCTACTCGGGCTGTTTAATCCCATCTTCTCATCTAACTCTATTCTCCCTTGTTCCATTAGCTATACCTCTACGGTGCCCCTGTATTCCTTAACATCTCTCTCGGCCTCAACTCTTTTAATGAAACAAGCCTAAAGTCTTGATTTCAGAGAAAAAATAAAGAAAACAAACTCCACCAAATGTCTTTTAACTAACTCACCTTTCCAACTCACTTCTTCAGTTACAATATTGCATTATTTTGTATTGACCTCCCAAACTTCTTGAAGAGACAATTTCATATCCAAACTTTCAAGGATAGAAGCTCATTTCCATCTCTCTTCTACTGTGCTACAATTAGTCTTCTGCACTAATAAAGTGAAATCTAAGCCTTCTTTATTAGTTTTAACCCTAAGGAACCTTTTTGGTGCAGTTGGTATTCTTGTAATGCCTTCTTCTCCATGAGACTGTGATCCCATTTGTATTCTTGGACAAGAACGGCTGACTTTTTCAACTCAACCTCCTTCTACGAGGTCTCATTCCCATCTAAATATTGGAGACTGATTCCCATATCCACATCTCCAGCCCTAAGTTGGATTTTGAGATCTAGGCCTGAATTTCCAACTTTCTATTAAACATCTTTATTTGAATGGCTACAAGATGTTAACAAAATGCCTTTTTATCATCAAAACTGTGTTTATTTTCTATTTTCCACCCACACCATTTGCTGATGCTGCCATCCTCCTAGTTCTCCAGCCAGAATCTCTGTCATGTCCATGGCTCTTGTTCTTCCTCACTCACATTCACAATGTCCCAGGTGCTGGAGGTCCTGCCTCTCCAGTAACGGCTTTTCACGAGTCTGGCCACTGTATTTGGCCAAACCCTCCTTCTCCCCTGAGAGCTCTTAGAATGCTCTCCCTGCTTCCAGTCTCTCTTCCAATTCACTTTATAAACTGTCCAAAAGGGAAATCTTTTTAAATGAAAATCTCAGTCTGTGAGAACCTAATTACTTATCCTAAAACATAGATGCAGGTTGCCTTTTGTTCATACGTTGCCAACTCAATAAGTTGAAATAATAATTTGCAAAATTATCACCCTATGTTTTGTTTAAGGGATACTGAATGATTCAGTTAACAGATTCTTTTCAACAAATTAACATAATTGACTTAATTGAAGCAATATGTTTGTTATATTGGTGTCATCCACATACAAACATTAGGTGGCTTTTAGAATTTGAGTTAAGTAGCTGGTTATACAGCTTCTGATTTACAGAAGATCTATGCAGTTTCCATCTTTTCTTTTGTAATGAAAGATTATCCACTTCTTGTGCAATGTGATGGGCATTACTTGAGTGATGCTATATTCCCTTGTACGTATGAAAATTTTATTTGTTTTCTAAGCTGAATAATATAAAACTTTAAATAGATGGCCACAACTTTAACTTCTGAACACATTTTCCTCAATTAAGGGGAAGAAAGAGTGACATGAGGAATAGAGCACACATTGAAGATAAGTAAGTCCCCTGATGCAAAGCTATTGTCATAAAATGTTATCCAAAGCAAGTTTTTTTTTTTCTTTTTTTTGTTTTTTTTTTTTTCTGTTCTGTTTTGTTTTGTTTTTCCTCCTGGAGTAATCAGGTGTGACAGATGCAGGTTTGCAATAATTTTAAGGACTTTTTTTTTTTTTTTTAGCACTGAGACAAAGCTAATAAGCAATGGGTTTTGTTAGCCAATTACATACAAACAGAGATTCTGAGGAATAAAGAAGTAGAGAGCTTATTTTGAATCTGCCTTTTTGAATAAGTATACCAAAAAGCCCCCTCAAATCAAGGAACAAGTCTTAATAGCCATTAGCTTATTTTGAGAATAAAACAGTGGTAATCAAGTCTGTTTTATTCAAGTTCTCTTTGGAAAATATCCTGTGAAACTAACCAGGAGAAACGTAGGCATGATAGCATCCTGGGGAAAAATAAAAAGAAAATGAAAGAAAATCTCTAACAGAAAAAAAAAAAGACATTCCAAGAATGAACTCAGTGTTATTTGAGATGATGTATTCATTTCCATATTTAAGTATTATTATAAATATGAAGGAAACATTTTTGAATTCTATAAGTAAAATTCTAAAACATTTTATATTTGTTAACAAAAATTAAATCGATGGAAAAAGCATATGTCATTCATGTTTTTCATTTATTTAGATGTGGTAATATTTTGTTAGTCTAAAAAGCAAACAAAATTATACTTTGGGATCCTATCATCTTATTTATATATTTTTGATATTAGTATTCTACTGTCATTTCTTTCTCCTCAGATACAATCTATGTTTCACACAAACACCTGTGCATTATAATGCTTTCATACGTATCTCAGGATCCTATCTTCAATTTTATATACACTATGAACTTTCAAACAATGTAAATACATTTATATTTTGAAATCCATAAAAACGATGTCAGGCTGGGCACGGTGGCACCCAGCACTTTGGGATGCTGAGGCAGGTGGATCACTTGAGGTCAGGCATTCCAGACCGTCCTGGCCAACATGGTGAAACCCTGTCTCTACTAAAAAGGCAAAAATTAGCCAGGCGTGGTAGCACACACCTGTGATCCCAGCTACTCAGGAGGCTGAGGCATGAGAATTGCTTGAGCCCAGGAGGCGGAGGTTGCAGTGAGTCCAGATCGTGTCACTGCATTTCACCTTGGGTGATCTCAACAAATTAAAAAATATATAAAAATTTAAAAAAAAAAAAAACAACAGCAACACACCTGTATGTCAAACAAGCACATGCATTTAGCTATCTGAGATATATACGTGTAATGTATACACACACATACAGAATGAGAGAGATAGGAACTTTAAATCACATAATAATCTGTAAGTTTGATGGGTTTTGCCTTTATTTTTTAATTTGAAATAATTTTAGACTCACATAGTAGTTGCAAAAATAGTTGATGATACAGTTTGGATATGTATCCCTGCCCAAATCTCATATGGAATTGTAATTCCCAGCGTTGGAGGTGGGACCTAGTGGGAGGTGATTGGATGATATGGGAGGTTTCTTTGCCCTTGCCCTCCCCTCCCCACTTTCTTCTCCCCGTCCCCCTCCCCTCCCCTCCCGTCCCCTCCCCCTCCCCCTCCTCCCCTCCCCCTCCTCCCCTCCCCTCCCCTCCCCCTCCCCTCCCCCTTCCCCTCCCCCTTCTTCCCCCTCCCCTTCCTCCCCTCCCCTCTCCTATCCCCCTCCCTTCCCCTCCCCTCCCCTCCCCCCTTTCTTCTCCCTGCCCCCCACCCCTCCCCTCTCCTATCCTTTCCTTTCTTTTCTTACAGAGTCTGACTCTGTTTCCAGGGCTGGAGTGCAGTGGCATGATTCCGGCTTACTGAAACATCCGCTTCCCGGGTTCAAGCGATTCTCTTGTCTCAGCCTCTGGAGTAGCTGAGATTACAGGGGCGTGCCACCACACCCGGCTAATTTTTTGGTATTTTTAGTAGAGATGGGGTTTCACCATGTAAGTCAGGCTGGCCCTGAACTCCTGACCTCAAGTGATCCACTTGCCTCAGCCTCCCAAAGTGCTAGAATTACAGGCTTGAGCCACGGCGCCCAGCCACATATGGGTGCTTTCTAATGGTTTAGCAAGATCCTCCTTGGTCGCGATAGTGAGTTCTCACGTGATGTGATTGTTTAAAGTGTGGGGCACCTCCCCCTTACTCTCTTCCTGTTAGTCCAATCATCAGAAGCACCTGCTTCCCCTTCACCTTCCGCCATGATTGACAGTTTCCCGAAGCCTCTCCAGAAACTGAGCAGATGCTAGCACCATGATTCCTCTTCATCCACTGAGGAGGGAGTTTCCAATTGCATGCTTGTTTCTCTCCCTACATGTGTTAACATTAGTTTAGAAATTTTATATCATTTTGAGACCAAAAAAATCAACTCTGAGGTATAAATTTTGATAGTGCAAGGACCCATTCATCATGCTTGACATATAATCTTTTAAATTAAATTTTTATTGTGCAATGATTACAGTTTCACCTGCCTGTGGAACTATGAGCCAATTAAGCCTCTTTTCTTTATAATTTACCCAGTCTCAATATTTCTTTACAACAATGTAAGAATGGACTAATACAGTTGAGTTCCTATGTAACCTTCCCCCGTTTCCTCCAATAATAACATTCTACACGATACGGTACAATCATGAAAGCCAGAAAATTGGCATTGTCACAATAAAATTAACTAAACTACAGATTTTATTCTGATTTAACTAGTTTTTATGTACTTTTTTTTTGTTATAAACAGGTTTTACCAGTTGCATAGATTCGTGTAACCACCATTGCAATTGCGATATAGATGTTCAATTACCCAAAAGTAATTTTTTCTCTTTAAACGTAATACAAATTAGCAGAATGTGCTTGAGAAAATCCAGTTTGGCTGTCATTTTTGAATTTAGTCCTCACTATAGTGTCCATTTTTTAAATTTCTTGCCACTGATGGGCCAATTTGTGACTGTTACTGGATTAGATACTGGATACTACATGTTAATAATAAGCATATAAAGAAAACAAAAAAGACTATATCTAAAGACTGTGATTAAGTTCTGAATGAGACAAGGTGTTCCCAGCTGAGTTTAAACTGGAACATGAATAGGAGATTCGGGAAATAAAGAGAGGAGTATAACAGTAACTTATTGCCAGCTTGGCCCTATAAACTACACATGCAAATTAGTAAACCAAGTGTAGAGGGAAAATGTGGGAATAATAGTCTTTTAAAAAATAATTTTAAGGTGAAAACCAAATAAGTTTGGCACATGAGGACTCAATTACATCTCCAGTGGTGACTGCAGGTGACTCAGAAGGCAACTGGCAGTAAACTTGATGCCCAAGGAGGGCAGATGCCTAGAAGTCATCAGGAGTAACTAGGAGTTTTGGCTGAAGAGTGGCAGATCCTGGCAGAACAGATTTAGTGATGAATAAATTCTCTGGTTCATGATGCCAAGAAATTAGTGGTTGCTAGGGGTTGAGGAGGAATACAAGTGGAAGTATGTGAGGCTACAAAATGACAACAGGAGAGGTCCTTGTGGTGATGGAAGTATTTTGTATTCTTAAAGCATCAAAGTGAATATACTGGTGGTGACTCTAGTGTTACAAGATGCCATTGGAGGAGACTGGATAAAAAGGATACACGGCATCTCTCTAAAGTCTTCTTACAAAGAAAGGTGAAACTGTAATCATTGCACAATAAAAATTTAATTTAAAAGATTATATGTCAAGCATGATAAATGGGTCCTTGCACTATCAAAATTTATACCTCAGAGTTGATTTTTTTTAGTCTCAACATAATATAAAATTTCTAAACAAATGTTAGCACATGTAGGGAGAGAAACAAGCATGCAACTGGAAAATCCCTCTTCAGTGGATGAAGCTATCAGTTGCCGTGCCCGTGTTCATCTCAGGCTTCTTCCTCTTTTAATATCCCTAAATTTGAACAACACGATAAGGTTCTAAAAGCTTCAATCTTTTATGCAAATGTTTATCATGAAGCAAGGAACCCTGAACCCTGTACTGCAAAAGGCAGGCCTATGACAAGTTTTTAAAAATCATCTCTTCAAATTAATTCCAAGTCATGATTAATGATTCTCGGTTCCATAGATAACAAACCATGACCTCTATTAAAAAGAATAGAGTCAATGAACACCAAATATAATTCATTAGACAGATGTAAGTGACCAGCGCTGTGGTGTTTGATGAATATAATGAAGTTCTTTGATTAAGAATATAAATATCTCCCAAGAAGAGTCCCATGTTTGTTTTCCAATTTGAAGGAAAAAAATACTTTGGCAAATTCCACAAGAATGATATTCGAATTGGGATAAAAGTAGTTTAAATATTTTGTTATAGATAGAACAATAAACAAGTTTATTGTGTGTTTTCATGATGGAAACACATTAACAAAATTTTCTCCAGAGATCTTATTTTATATTTAGGTTAGTAATAAAAAAAAAAAAACCATGTGTTTGTGTATGTGTATATATAGTACATATACATGTGTGCGTATATGTATAGTACATAAACACATATATAGTACAATATATGTGTATATAGAGTACATATATATGTGTTATAAATATATACAATTTAGGTATTATGTTTGTAGATAACCCTGAACACTTCTGCATAGTGAAAATCCAGGCCAGTGGGGAAACTTTGCCATAAAAATGAATATGGAGAAGCAGAAAGTGGGCTTTACATGATCAATTTTGGGTAATTTTCTAAGGGAGGGTTGGGTAGGAAGTTCTTCAAACTTGTATTTCTGGAATAGTGAACTCGTCACAGCTGTGGACTGATCTAGGACTCACTGTAGATGACTCCTGGCAGGCAATGACTCACTGAACTCTTACAATGAAATCAGACCAAAGAAATAAAATGGGAAGCTTTATCTCACTTTGTAGAAATCAGTGTTTCTATGAGATACTGTTTGTAATTCTGGTCAACAATCTGCAACAAAGAAATAGCAAAACTCCGGAAGGTCTAGATAGGGTCTACAGGACAGCTAAAGTGGCCAAAAGAGTATAGAATATTTCATATATATAAAAATAAGAAAAACTTGAAAAATATTTTCATGACAAAAAATAAAAAATAAGAGAAAATAGGGTTGCATAGCCATACCTAAAATATATTTATAAATACATAAATGTCAAGTACATGAGTGTCCTTCATGATTGGAGTGTTCTATCTTTAACCCTCTATGGGTCAAAAATTGATTTATGTTTGATGAATGCAAATAAGAAATTGTTATCAAATGTTCAAGGGGTTAAAAGCTTAGGAGAAAAACAAGGTGTTACATGACTGAGGCAACATTTGGAAATAACAAAAACCACAAGGAGGTAAAACATAATAAGATTAAGTTTGTTGAATATTTGTGTAAATATCTTGAAGTTCCAAAGTGAATTAAACCAGTAGGAGGAGGAAGAAAATTGTTGTAAGAACAGCTTGATTTGGAGAAACCTTGAGGTTGTTTTATAACTGTGAGAAAAGTGAGTGAAGTGAGACACATGACAACACTATTTTGACCTTAGAGCAAATTATTAGAAACAAAATATTCATGCTAAGGGGAATAATAGTCTTATCTTTTACACTGATCAGGATAGTGGTAGTCTGAGAAATATATCATACAAAGAACTGGCTAAAAAACAAAACAAAAGCCCTGAGCATTTTAATTGGACCTATGAAATAATGATGTCTATAGAATATGTAATAAAAAACAAGGGAGTATGTGGGATGCTGAGAGTGAATCAGCTTCTAGAATAGAGGCATCCAATCTTTTGGCTTCCCTGGGCCCATTGAAAGAAGAATTGTCTTGGGCCATACATAAAATACACACACTAATGATAGCTGATGAGCTAAAAAAGAATTGCCAAAAAAAATCATAAGGTTTTAATAAAGTTTACAAATTGGTGTTGGGCCACATTCTAAACCATCCTGGGCTGCATGCAGCCTGCGTACCCTGGGCTGGACAAGCTCGTTCTGGGACTTTTGGATGCTCATTGAACTTGCGTGATTCCTTATGTAATCATGTACTCGTTTCAGGATTTTTATCAAAAGCATGCATCCAAAACCTCGGGTACTGGGTTGCCTCATTTATTTTAATCACAAAATACTGAAAAATGGTAACAAGAAATGCATCTTAATAATAATATTTCTAAGAACATGAAACTACATTCTTTCTTTGTTGCCCAACCTTAGTGTTCTCTGACTATGTGTATCCCACTCCATGCCTTTCTCTGTTTTCCTGGATTTATGCTGGGATGAAGGAAATATTCAATTGACTTCTGAAACTATGTTCAAACTTCCAAGCCCCTGATATATTTTAAAAAGTATTTTTAAAGGCAATATTATTTAGAAAACCTGTTGTTGATGACACAATATTCCTGGGTCATTATAGGAGTCAGGAGGTGAGCTGTGTTATTTCATTGGTCTAAATTTCCTATCAAACTGGGCCTTACGGAGTGTATATGAATAACAACAAATGCACTAAGAATGCAGCACAGTGTGGCAGTCTGGTATTTTCCTCCAGATGACAGCATTAAGTGGATCAACTCAAATAAAGGAGAACTCCATATAACAAGGAGATATGGGGCCCAGTGGTTTTGTGAGCTGTACAGTGTTTCAATAAGACAACTAACAATCAAGGTCAAGACATAATTTGTGCGCATCTATCATTCCAGACTAGACCCTTTAACCCTGTAGCCTTTCTATTGTGTTATGAAATTCATCCTAATTAGGCATTCAAAATCCAGTTCCACACTAGTTCAATAAAGTCTATAGAACAACAGAAAGATATTCAAAAATAGATTCTATTAAATATTTTTAAACAGCTTATATAAATAGAAGCCTTCACTGGTATGTTGGTGATGATTGCATCAAGTGTAATAGCTCATCCTAGGATTTGGGATCATCTATGATATGTGCAAAATCTATTTTTCCCAATCAACTACAATCACCTACAAACATTATGTATTTCATCTATACTACACTATAGCTATACTATACTAATATACTGTACTATACTATACTATATCTATTCTGTACTGTACTATACCATACCATACCATACCATACTATATCTATACTACTCCATTGTCTTAATCCTGTTTTATATTCTTCATTTTCTCACGCTACCTGCTATAGCCAGGACATTTCTGTCCACTTATTTTTTTTCTAGCTAAATTCTATGTATCATTGATGACCTCTATCAGCAACTATCTCTTTTATACCCCAATTTTGATTAGAACTAATTAGTTGTGAGTTCTTCCTGCTCTGAAACATCATTATTACACAAAGTACTTTCTGCTTTGTACTGTAAAGATTCACACACTTGTTTTATTCTCATATTATGTTTGAACCATGTTGACTAGGGACTAACCATCTTTATTCACCTGCATTCCTTCTACCTAGATTTCTGCCTTACATGCAATAGGCAGAAGGGTCATTGAGCATAAAATAAAGTAATAAATAATAAGTCCTTAATATCAAGATCCTGATGAATATTCCAATACTGACAGCTCTACCCACAACACCAAACACAATTAAAATTTAACCTATAAAGGAAGCCCTTCTAGGAAGGTTATATGGATACTGATGCAGGGCCTTTTTTTGTTTGAATTTACTTTGTGTTTGTTTATTTTTGCTTTTTTGGGGAATTATTTTGGTAGTACTCCCAACTTGGGAGACATCTAGAGAAAAATGTCGTATATCATAAGTTAACATTCGGTCAACTATCATGCATTTATTGAGTGTTAAAGCGTGAAACAACTTATAAGACAAGCCCAAGGAGACAGCACCACACCAGAGAAAAATAATATGTAGAAATGCTGTTTGACACTCAGCTAAACTGGCTGCACTTGAGAGAAGATAATTACTTCCTTAGTGATATATTTTTTGAGATTAAGAGTTTTAAATGTGAATTTCCAATTGGACAACAAACTCTCAGTACTACTTAGAAAATGTAGGGATTACTAAAACAACAAATAATGATTTCCATAAACTATATTTTTTAACTCTTTGGGTCCTGATTCTTATCACGCATTCTTACACAGAGATAATTTTGATATTACTCACTGAAAAGAGATTTGTAGTATGGAGATCTAGATCATCTTGGGCAGCTAATCTTCACTGGTAATTGTACAAATTGTCACTGAGGTATTAGTTCTGATTCTGCCCTTAATTGTTATTCTCAAGATAAGGTCTCAAACTCCTTTTTAGAAGGAGATGCCTGTTGGTCAAGGGAACTAGCAGGTTCATACACACTATCCTGTCTTTGGCTTATCAACATTTAGAACATAGCGGCTCTTTATTTAATCTCCTTAGTGCCTGGTTATCCAAATACTTTACTATTTGTTTAACTGGCTCATGCAGCCAGTTTTTCAAATTGTTGCAATTGCATATGACTTTTAATTTAGAAGTTTAAGGGTTTCCAAAAACAGTTTTTGAATAAAACTCTCTTTTAAAAAATGTGAATACAATTTCAGTTTGTCTATCAAAACTAAATAACTTTATCTGAATAAAGCATTAGAGTGAGAAGATTTTCACCTATTCATTCTTTCTTCCTCTCTTATCCCTTTCCCCATCCAAACCAGTCATCCAGTTAAGACCCTAGTAATTTATGCAATATGGGTTAAAATCTGATACATTTCTCTCACGCAAATCAAATAACAGACATGGACAGTGTTTATTTAGGGCACATGCCATGACAGAGTCATAGAGTGGGTATTATAGGACAAGGAGTTAGGTAAATATTCTTCTTCACTATGTTTCAGTTTTCAAGAAAGAAATTGGGCTTGTCTTGCAGCTCTCTATCAGACTGAAAAATTCTGTACCTAACCAGTATAATTGGTACTTTTATTGGATTTTATGTGGAATATACACAGAGTTTAGTAAGATAAATTATCCAAAACTGAAATTATGGTAAAAAGATTACTAAGTGCCTTATCATACTGAAGAATTATCTAACAAACTTGTTTACAAAACACTGATTTTCTAGAGAAATGCATATTTTTCTTTTATCATTGAATAGAACTGAGGTTCTCCGCAGATAAATGTCAGCTTACAGAAGACTAATAAATTACAAAAGATTTTTTTTCTGATAGAGATGTTAGTGGTTCCAGCCAACAGAAATGATGGCTCAGTTACAGATTTATTGCCTATAGGACATTATTAGCCAATTTTGTATCTAATTGAAGTAACCTTATCTCAACAATCTTTCATTCATTGATCATATTCTCTCATATCTTTTATTTTTTAAACCAGCTGTAGTATTCTGCTAGTTTCCTCATGAATAAGTTAAATAAATCTTTGATATATGCTCACTTTATATTTGTACAAGAATCATTTTTTTAACATTTTGAAATTTAGACTTGAGAGTGTATTGTAAAAAGAGTTGTTTAGTAAAAATAAGTTTACTGTTCTTTACTCGCTAAATAAATCAGTTTACTGTCCTTTACTCACTATTTCCTATCTTTGGCATTATGAAAAATTGTAATTTTTAAAAAAGAAGTTAAGAATGTTAAAAATTTAAAGGTAATTTGAAACAAAATCAAATTTTACTTGAGATACTTTTAGAAACCATTTTGTAGAGTTTTCATCTGTAGGTAAGGTAGGCAGTTATAGCATATATTATAGCATACATAGGAAACATCACAATACAATAATTACAATTGCTAGTAGAGAAATCCTACTAAAGTAAAAAAATGCAGTATTTTCAAATGGCATGTTATAACAAATTACATCCCATTAATGTTGTATTTTAAGAAATGGCTGTAGTTATTATACTTTCCAGTTAAATAACGTGTGTGTAATGCTGAAGAATATAATATGAAATAAATGGCGATGTTGGGAAGGAAGACAACTGGGAGGATGGTGGGAAAAGACGTGAGAAAAAAAATAAAATATGACAGAAGAAGAAGCAGAAATAAAGGACCTGAAGGAGAAGGAGAATAGCCCTTTTTAAATGTATCAACCTACTTTATTTGCAGTAGAAAAGAGAAGTCAGGAAATCCTTTACATTGATTTCTTTTTTTTTTTTTACTAGCTTAAATTACTAACATATTATTAAGAATAAATGCAGGAAAATTTTTCTCAAGCATCCCAAATCATCAATCTCTCTTCCTTCAGTAGTTTATGTGCTCAGAGTGTCCATTGGCCGGACACATTTTTCTCTGTGGAATCACAGTAGGCCTGTCTTTCTGTGCACAGTGACCTAGGGAGTAGACCTTTCTCAGTGATCTCTACAGGATCCAGCTGTAACTTCCCTGTGGCCCATTCACTTTGAGCCCCATTTTTCCTTGAAAAACAATTAAGTAATTCTAGAAACTATTTTGTGCCTTATTCACCTAAGTTTCTTATAAGAAGCAATATGGGTCTGTCAAAAGTCACCTCTCAGAAGCAAAATGCCTTAAATATAATTCAAAAATTTGAAAACTAATTTTTAGGCACTTTGGCAAATCAAGAAAATCAGTTTGTTCAGATGAAACCATCTGTCAATATGCCTTCAAGAGTTTGCAACTCACTCATCAAATGGAACCAGTTCTTATTAAGAGGCCCTGAGAAAAAGTAGTTTGTATGGATTTCTGATAAGCCAAACATATACTTTATAGTATGTTTTTAATTCTTGCTATTTTATAGATTTTCTACAGAAGACTCTATCATGAACAAGAGGGGAGATTTGAATACAGGAATATCAGATTCCTTAAATCCATGTAATTCTTTGCCGTTTGAGATTTCCTGTCATGCTAAATACAGGAGCACATCCGGCTTGAACTCAGAAGAAGAACAAAGATATTTGCTTTTCACCAATGACAGTTAGACAAGCAATCAGATACTAGATTAAAAGACTGACAGTGCTCACTGGTTCTTCCGCGCTTTCATCACTTGTGAGAGCTAGCTAAATTCTGCTCAAATTAGCACTCATGTGTCAGAAAGTTTTTGAAAAGTCGCACAGCTTTCAATCTCCTAGAACTCAGATAGAAAATTATCAAATTTCTGGTGTTCCCAAAGGGGTGAGCACAGTACTCAAGCAATGAAAATTAGGTAAGTACTTTTAAAGTACTCAGTTAAAGCAGAGATTTTGCCACACGATATACTTCATAATAGTATCTATTGCTACTTGACAGAAGTGACAGTTATTTTGCCTGTCATTCCTAAGAAGGAAGAAATTGAGAGCAAGTATATTACCTTCTCGGTTCTTACTGTAGACACTACTTCCTGGGAGCCATGTGCCAATGTGTAGGATATATTAGAGATAGAATATAAGTTTGATGGTGACGAATGTGAACAGAACATGATAGTTTAAGAGATATCTGAGGCCTCTCTTTTAAAATATTTCTGGTGTGTTTTTACCCTTCTTAAATTCAAAAGAAAACAGCTTTAAAAAAAACTGATGTGTGAAATTTACATATTGATACAACAGCAGTTCAATGACTCAATCCCATTATATCCTCAAAAATGTATAAATAATCAAGAATTGTTACCACCTGCTCATTACCACAGCATCTCCAAGGTTCTCTTTTATGAATAAGCCATGGGATTATATTATCATTATTCCCACTCACTAAAGTAAATGCGTCTTTAGATGTTATAGGGCATGGTGTTTTCAAAATGGTAATTAAAAAAAATAGAAGTCACTTTTTTGGATGATGCCAGCATGTTAGCTATAGAATAAAAAATGATTATCTGCTGCATTTGAAGACAAAACAATACAATATAACTAAAAATAAGAAATGTCAGACAGGTGCTAAGAACTTTATATTATCACAGTTCCCCCAGTAACCCTACTCTGTCCATTTTACCAATGAGATCCAGAAATTGGGGCAGTGTGCCCAGAGCCACTTCAAGAGCTCATGCTTCCTGCTCTTTTAAATCCAATCTATGCCTTGAATCAGACAAACTAAACAACTAATCATTCATTTATCTTTTGTTTCCTAAACTGCCTAAAAATATACTCTGAGGGAAAAAAGAAAAAAAAAAAAACCACTGTGTCAAAAGCATCCATAAACATTCATTGAGCACAATTAAAGTTAACATTTGCTGAAATAATTTAAGAAATTAATTCCTTAGCGTTTACAAATAACTTTTATATGACATTTTGTAGTAAGGCTTCTTTTTCCATTTGGCATTAATAATCTTAATATTCTGTATTAATTTGTCAGGCATCTCAATTAGAGCAGTCAACAAAAGAGAATAACATATTAGCATGTGTTTCTTAATGCTGCAGACAAAGAGCTGAAGAATCTCCAGGGACTGACTAACTATGAGTATGTATTACAGATGGCCTCTTCTTTATTTTTTTGTTTCCTGTTGGCAAGATTTGAGGCCTTTCACTCCGGATTAACCGCCTTTCCACCAAACACTGGCAGGGGAGCTTAATGTTGCTGTTAAATCAATCCACTTGGTTTGGCATGTTGGCAGTTTTGTTGGGTGGGAGGTGTTGGTGAGCAAAGCAGGCTTTCGGATTTGAACATTATGTTAAACCAAAGAGAAAATATTAAATATTTGGATTATTGGATCTTACATAAGATTTTTAAATCCATGCTATGTTCTCTACTTTGAATTAAATAAATAATTATTTACTTTCATTTCTGGGAAGTTAGCCTATTTATTTATTGTTGGATGATGTACTAAACATTTCCATGGTTACTGATAAAACGTAAGATATTACACCAGTGGATAAAAGGTAGACCATCATAAACCACACTCATAGAACAAACCAATGTATTACAAATTACTAGGTGTTATTTTAGAAAAGCAAACATGCACTTAACAATATATGTTTTAATTAGAAAAAAACCTATGAAAAATTCAAACGATACAGGGTTTTTTATGTTATATTCCTGAAATTTTAATTCCTGCTGAGAAAATACATTTGTTTTGGAACACAGAATAATTAACATTAAAATGAGCATAGACAGCATACAGATTGCTTTAGTGAATTAATTCAATGATATCTAAGGGCTGAGTGCCAGAAAAACATCACTGGAAGTCTCCTTGTGGAGAGGCATTGTTAGAGCTCTGATCTCATGCCACAAACATCCCTTTTTCCATTTCATAACTCACTGTGCTTCTAATATAGACAAATTAGCTAATGTGCATTCATATTTTTACCTTGCATCTTTCATTAACTTGTCCACAACTTCATATAAACACAAAGCATGTCGGAAGAGAGAAATAATTAGATTTCTGTTCCCGGCTCTTAGCACTGTATTTGGGTCATGGTAGACATTGGGTCTACCAATATTCCCCTTATCCCAAAGAGGAATAAGACAGGATTCCTCTTTCAAGAACCTCAAATTGTATTGCAGAAGTATAGATAGAGTTAAACGGTAAGAAAATACTTCCTTATATGTCACAAGACAATGATGATTACTTTCTGAATAAATTATGCTAAGAACATATGCTGTAAATATTCAGAGGGGATAGACGGACACGGATGAAGTATTGTAGCAATGTTCCATGAAAAGGCAGAAAGAGAACTAGATCCTGAAGACAGGATCATCTTCAGGAAGAAAAGGCAATGAGGAGGAAGAAAATAATTTTAGATGGAAGAACAGCTGGTATCAAAGTGTTTACATGAAGACTGAGTTTTTAGGGACAGTATATTTTGTGAGGTTAGCTAAAATGGATGCTTAATGTAAGAAAAACATAAATAAAATATTGATATTTTACTGAAGAAACCACTTAGCACAAAGCTAAAAGTTTAGTTCTCATTCCAAAGACAAATGGAAGTTTTAATATTTCCTTCACTTCCCTCCAGGTCTAGTACACCCCTCAATATTTAGTACACCACAACTGCAAACCATCATTCCAGGGACATCTCTCAGTGACTAGCAAAATGGTTGACCCGTTCTGTCAAAATTACCTTGATCTATTTGAATCTATTCAAAAATAGGACCAATGACTTAGAAAATTAATTTTAATCATTCTACAACATACTTGCTATCATATAATTAATATTTAATAAACTATTATTCAAGAAAACACATTGAATTATTTTTCTACACATATTTGGATTATGCTTGTTTGTCATTTTGGGGGGTCAAAATGGTTTTAAAAGAACTTTGGTAAATGTTGATCCATTAATTTGATTTTTATCATCTATAAGAGTTGTCAACTTGGAGATTCAATTTTAAACACATTTTTCCACATCACTACACATCTGTGTTTACACTGGCTGCAATACTAGCAGGTCCCAAAAGGCCTCAGTATTTATTTATTTATCTACATAGTTTTGGGCAGGATTGGGGAGCTCTTTCACTTGCTCTGCTCTTATTATTTCTAAGTCAGTTTTATATCCAAATCAAAACATTCAATCTAATTACAAATTATGTTTTCAAAAGCTTTGGCATGACAACTTCTCAAAGATATTTCTAAGCCTAAATTAGTTTCATTGATTCTTGACTAGCCTCAAATATCACAATTCTCAAGTTTCATACTGATCAACTTTTAAATTTTATATAGAATTAAAACTCTCTAAAATTAATCTGTCATTTACTTTCAAGTTGTGACCACAATTAGAACTACTATTTAGGTTCAATTTCAAATTAAAATTTACTCCTTAATATTAGTACGTTTTCAAAAGTACTACTTCATCTTCCTAATTACTTTCTCATTTTTCTCTTTTTCAGACAATTTTAAACTTACAGCAAAAATTTTAAGAATACTATGAAGCACATTTTATTCCTTCTGAATCACTTAAAAGTAAGCTGCTGGCTGACTTTTCATCATCCCCAGTATTTTACTCTGTAATTTCTACAAACAAGAATATGCTCTTATATAACCATGACAAACCTTAGAATGAGGGTTTTTACATCTATTACTACTATCTAATGCACAAAGCTTATTTAGAGTTCCCCAATTATGGCACCACCATTTTTTATAATATTGGAGCAGAAAAGGGGTGACTCCTTCCCACCCCATCATAAAGGTCATGACTGACATTCCTATAACAAAATACAGATTAACAAGAGAAAAGCATCACAAATATATTTCATTATGGTTTTACATAACATGGGAGCCCTCAGGATGAAGAATTAAAGGAACAGGGAAAAGTATCCATTTTTATGCTTAGGTTCAATGAAGAATGGACAGGCATGCAGAACTGTGATTAGACAAAAGGATCTGGTCTAATTCTAGTAGACCCAGGTGGGGAAACCCAGCCAGGCTTATCTGGATTCTTCTTGGCCTCTCTATGCGGTGTTCCTTCCTCCTGAATATGGTGCTGGACACTTTCTGGAATGGCTGCCATCAAACGAGGAAGGTCAGAGACTTTCTCTATGGCCAGCTCTTACCCAGATAAGACAGGAAAATATGACAACAATATTTTTAGCTTGTATGGCTGGCTTTGGGAAAAAGGGCTTCTGGTTCCTAAGACCTGCTCTGGGGAGATGAATTCTAGTTTCCATGGCTTGTCTCAGAGGAGAATGAGTGGCTCGGAATAGGAGGCCAGAGATAAACTTTGCTTCCGAGGCTGCTTCTGAGGCCTTCACTTTTGAGTATGGTTTTCTGAGCCCCAACAATACCAAAAGGATCCAGTTCAGAATCCCATGTCACATTTAGTTTTTATGCCTCTTTCAATCCAGAACAGTTGCTTTTCTTTCTGTTACCCTCACAACCTTGTTCCTTTTTTTTTTTTTTTTTTTTTTTTTTGAGATGGAGTGTCATTCAGTTGTCCAGGCTGGAGTGAAGTGGTGCAATCTTGGCTCATTGCAACCCCCGCCTCGCCTCCCAGGTTCAAGTGATTCTCCTACCTTAGCCTTCCAAGTACCTGGGATTATAGGCATGTGTCACCACGTCAAGCTAATTTTTGTATTTTTAGTAGAGACGGGGTTTCATGATGTTGTCCAAAATGGTCCTGAACTGATGACCTCAGGTGATCCACCTGCCTCAGCCTCCCAAAGGGCAGGGAGTACAGGTGTAAGCCATCACACCCAGCCTTGATAGTTCTATATCACAGGCCAGTTCTCCCATTGACAATGCATCAATTTGGGTTTGTCTTTTGATTCCTCAGGATGAAATTCAGGGTAGGTATTTTGGCAGAAATACACGGTGGTGAAGCTTCCTCAGATGGGGCAGGATATTAATTTGTTCCATTTATGGTGATACTAACTTTGATAACATGCCAGCTTCTCTACTGTGGAAGGTACCATTTCTTCCCTTTACAATTAAGAATTATTTGGGGCGGGGGGAGGTACATTTAGAAGATGTAAATATTCCATTCCCTATCACATTTTAACCTGCTAGTTTTCTCAGCCAGTATATTTCTTAGCAGCATTGATTATCACTACAATGATTGCTATATTTTGATTTCCTGATTCCATCATTACTTCTGCGCTGACTAGTTGGTACTCTTCTACAAGAAAAAGCTTTCTCTTCTCTCCATTTATTTACTCATGTCTTTGTCCATAACTATATGAACTGAAAGATTCCTATTTTATTCAGTGAGTTATAATACGGTAGTATCACTACATAGTTTGATGCTCAAATTGTTCCAGATTTGGCCAATGGTATCCCCTCTAAACTCACTGCTATGTACTTCTGCCAGGTTACCATCATCCTCTGGTATTTCCTTACTTTCTGGCACAAATAGATATTTTAGATTCATATATACGTGTCTTGTTTCAGCCCCAAAAGTCATCATTTTTTTCAAGAAGGCATAATCCATTAATCAAAAATGATACTAAAGAACCAAAATTCATCATTTTTTTCAAGAAGGCATAATCCATTAATCAAAAATGATACTAAAGAACCAAGATCTAGGCCAGGAATGGTGGCTCACGTCTGTAATCCCAGCACTTTGGGAGGCTGAGGTGAATGGATCACCTGAGGTCAGGAGTTCAAGACCAGCCTGGCCAACATGGGGAAACCGTGTCTCTATTAAAAATACAAAAATCAGCTTGGCGTGGTTGCGCATGCCTGTAATCCCAGCTACTCGGGAGGCCGAGGTGGAAGAATCACTTCAACCCGGGAAGTGGAAGTTGCAGTGAGCCCAGATCATGCCACTGCACTCCAGCCTGGTTGATGGAGCAATACTTTGTCTCAAAAAAAAAAAAAAAAAAAAGAACCAAGATATAGACGCCTGGTGTGTTCAATGATACTGGAGCATACTGGAGCATTGTTGCTCCTAGGCTCTTCCACTGGGCAGAGCTACATAGAAATTTACATCAGTATGTATTTTCATATACATCTATATACATTAATAACTGTGAAAACTGTGTAGCTTCTAAAGAATCTGACTGATTTTGTTGAAACATTGTGACAGTCACACTCCAAAATTTAAGCTGATGACTTATCTCTTAAGCTCTAGGTAGAAGGAAGTCTATAGAATTTGCTGCTAGTTGAAGCTCTCATTAATGTTGGGAACTAGATTGATAAATATTCTACTAGATGTTGAGTTAAGCTATTCTATATTTTCCCTACTAAAACAAAAGCCTTATTTTTATCTGAAATGATCCATATTTATATGTATTTCCTTTCATTCAATTGAATTGCAAATTCAAAATAAACAGCTTGAAAAGTCCACTGGCTACTAATGATACCCTTTTGAAGGGAAATTATTAATTCAGCACAACTCCAAGTGAAATAAACAACACAGTTCTACAGCCAAGGTAAATGCACATATCGGACTAAGTCTGGATGAAAACTGTCGGTTGTCAAACTGCTACCATATAATAACCACCAATTTTGTTAGACATTATATGGCTTGATTTTTGTTCATGAGTCCTTTTCTCAATCAGACATTAGGTTTTTATAAATCTGATGTTTTATAAGCAGAATGGGGAAAAATCGGATGATTATCAGAACATTGACCTTAGTGTTTTTGAATTACTCCCACTACTAAATAGTAAGACATACATGTTAGCAAGAGGTGATACATTTAACAAAGTAAAGACAGATAGGTACACTTGACATGGAAACTTGCGCTACTTATATGTATGTTTGTGTATGTGTTTGTGTTTTCTATATATGCATAATCTAGATCTTTGGAAGGCATTTGTATAATTTTTCTATTTTTTAATGAAAAGCTTTGGAGTAATATTACCCCAAAATAGCCCAATTGAGCATTAAAAATATTTTGAACTTAAGGCAACTGAAAAAAAAAAAAATCCAAACACCAGAAGACCTCTCTGCCCTCCCCCTATCTACCTGAACACACAAAACAACTTCTCTTTGTGAAGGCTATGTCTCTCTCCTCTTTCTCAATTTTTGTATCAGAAAAAGAATAACCACTTTATCACCCGAGACAACAAGGTACAGAGAAAAAGTCCAGATAAATAAACCTTACGAACTAGGCTTTATCTACCATTAGTCTCCCTACATATTTGCCTTTCCACAATTTGCTGGCCGCAGAGGTTCAAAGTCCTTTTCTTTTGTTTTGCTGCTTATCTATAAAATTATTTTTGTCAGAATGCTATATAAGCCTACATTGTAACCAATCCTTTGAGTTACTTATGACGGCGTACTTACGTGTGTATGCACAATGTATGTCTTAAAAAACTCCTGTTTTTTTTATTTTGTTTGTTTTCTTTTGTTAACTAATCTTTCTTCAGTCTAATTTGCAGGGACCCAACCAATAAACCTAATATGAATAGAGGAAAAATATTTTTTCCATTTCCTAAAATTATAATTTCTTGAAGCAAACTGGTTCCCACACCAGGTATAGTAAACTAAAGTGTAAATTTTGAAAATGAATCACCATAGTAAGCGACCTCTTCTTGAAGTATTGTCAGATGAAGACCATAAAAATTATAGTTCATTCTCTCCTTATATATTAGAAATAATGGAAGATTTAGAACCAGCTGGTTCTCATTATTTTCTGCTCCTCCTTCCTTGAGTAGGTCATTCAATACGCTTATAACCAGGATTAACAAGTCACGGTCTTTCCTTATTGTTACTACAAATGATAGTTTAGAATATTTTGCTAATGGATCCTAAAAAAATAATGAATAGAATGTTAGGGGTTGAATAATTGGGTCTATTGAAAACGTGGGGCCACCCCAAATTAGGTGTTTCCTTAGTGGATAATATTGTGTTGATATGCAATAATGTATTAGACACTTGTCATATTAAATAATTTTAACAAGAAACAGGAAAATGAACTTGCACTTATTTTATTAGAAGCTTAGCTTTTCTTTCCATTGATGATTAGGGAGAGAAGTTCATTTATTTTATTTTAGTGTATTTTATTATGTCAAAAGCTATTAAGGAAATAAGTATTTTTTTTGTAATTTACTTATTGGAGAGTGAGTATGATTTTCTCTTTTGTTGGTGTGACTAAAGATAGTTCTGAAGTACTTACACAACCCACAACCAAGAAACTAGAAATTAAATATGCTCAGATATTTTAAGATATTTAATTTTATGAAAGCTGAATTTACATTAATTATAGATACCTTAGTAATTCTAGTCAGGTTATAGGAAACCCAGAAAAAAAGGTGGCTTTTTTCTTACTTACACAGCCCACAACCCACAACCAAGAAACTAGAAATTAAATATGCTCAGATATTTAATTTACATTAATCTGATGAAGTTAATGAAATTCAATAATATAACTATAATTATACAAAAGGTGGCTTTTTTCTTATTTTTTAAAATTTCATGACAAGTTACTGCATTTATTTGTATGAAGAAAAGCATTAGAGTAGGTAGCTAGATAGACAGGTAGATAGACAGACAGATAGCAGGAAAGAAAGCCCCAGAAGCTCTAAATACCTTGCACCACTTGGAATCAATGCAAAAAGAAAATTTATGCTCTGTGGTTAGAGCAATCAGAATTAACAGTAGCCACATCTGGGCTTATGGTTAGGCTTATCCAGCCCTCACTGAGACTTACCTGGCCCTAGCAGAAAAATCACTTCAATAGGGACTTTCCCCAGTAGCGAGCATGTGCATTTTGACTTGGCTCACCCTAAAGGTAACATTTTGCTCATCATAATAGTAAAAAACACACCCATGAGTGGGGATTTAAAATACTAATGAAACATGCGACATATGTACTAGTGTAGTACACATGTTTTGAGACCTCCCAAAATGTGCTTACTGGTAACACCTCTTTATGCCCATTTGTAAATATTCATGTAAAACTCTCATAAAGGGGGTTCCCCAGTGTCAGTCAATGCATCTCATTCTGGAGCAGCCCACCCTGACTCGGCTTTCAGCATGTACTTTTTCCTTTAAATAAACATTGCCATTGCTGAATTGCCCCTGTGTGTCACTTGGCAGAATTCTTTCCTCCAAGAAGACAGGAACCAAGGACCCCATACTCCCCAGTAACAAAAGCATTACAAGGAAACATAGTAAAATGACAGGAGCCTCATGTTCTCACAGTCTAAAAGGAAGATGACTAGAAGTGTATATGAAGATATTTTATACTCATAAATTTTCCTTATTATCACACACTTTAAAACTCAAAATACAGAAAAGATTTAGTTTAGAGAAAATAAATTTAATTTTTCTTGTGGGAGAGGAGGAATCTTCTTTTTTTCTGAATATGCATTTTATGTCATCTATTTAATTCTTGTATTTATATTGAAAGGTATCATAATATGCAACCCCAAAATACACCTCTTTAGCATATGCATTATTTTGAGCTAAAGGCCCCTGAGGAATGGCAGACACCAGAAAAGCTCTAAAAACAGGGCATAAATTTTCATTTTGTAAAATAAATTTACATGTATAAAGGAGATTTCTATTTGTAAAAGATATCTCCCTTTCCCATATCAGGCAATGGATAACTCTTAAATCTTATGGATTGAGAAGACACCTACATAAATCTGTATAACAAACCTCACTAAAACAACCCTTGTTTAGTATACTTCTCCTAGCCACTTTCCCAACTAGTACCCCTTGCCCAGAAGCCCAAAACGCTTTTTTCTTTTTTGAGCCTAAGATGTTATATAAGCCTATATTCTAACTACCCCTTTGGATTACTCATTACTGGGTACTCCTATATACATGCATGTGCATGGTGTGCATGTTAATAAATTTCTATTTAGTTTTAGTTTCTTGTTAATCTGTCTTTTTCCAGTGTAATTTACAGGGCTCCAGCCAGATGGGTAGAGCCATCTCTATGATGAGTAGAAGAAAAAGAATCTAAAATAAGTAAAATAAAAAGACTATCATCCCCCTCCTACAATAAGATACATGATACTGTAGGAAACCAGGATAGGATACCCCAAAATATGTCTCCATAAGGATTATTTTGAGCTGATTATTTTGAGAAACTGCAGACAACAAAGAAGCTCTGAAAATGAAGTAGAAGTTACTCTTTTTAAAGAGAAATACTTATCTCTAAAGGAATGTTCCATTTGCAAGGGTGGCTTCCTTTCAGTACCCAGAAGAAAAGGATAACTAAATCACCAGAGACTCTTTTCAGTGGAGAAGGCACTGGTTTAAGTCTGCATAATAGAATTTATCATGGATTACCATACTTTTCTTGGTCACCTTACCATCACTGCACCCTGGCCCATATCCTTCTTTCTTTGTTTCAGTTGAAGGTGGTATTTAGGCCTAATCTCTAAGCCATGTCTTTGACTTACTCATTTTTCTGGGTATCTCCCACATGTAAATGAGGTATACAAGTTAATAAACTTCTTTTTGCTTTTATGTTCTTCATTTGTCCTTTGTTGCAGGGGTCTATTCCAGCTAGGAACCCAGTAGGGTAGAGAAAAAAATTATTTTTCCTTCTCTACAATACTTTTGTATAATATATTTAAAATATTGGTTATTGTGTATGGATCATAAAAAATAACAAGGGTTGCTCCTAGGAATATCTGTGAGATTAAAGAGGAGACAACAATGTTACCGATTACATCATTTCCCTTTTTAAAGTTATGAAATATTCCTATTCCCGTGGATAGAAAATCAGAGAGAATAATACAAAAATAACTATGTCACACCTCCCAGATTTAACAAGTATTTGAATCTTACCATATATTTTGGATCATTTTAAAAAATAAAATATGACATAGCTTTGAAGCTCTTCCTGATATTTTGATCCTGCCTCCGGAGAGACCAATACTATCTTCAGTTTGGTGGGTGTCTTCCACATCTGTGCTTTTCTGATTTTGGAATAAGTCACTGTATTATTTAAATACACATAAAACTTTATTTTGTGTTTTAAAACTTTATACATTTATCACTGTTATGTGCTCTCAACAATTTGTTTTTACTTCTTACTCAACAATATATTTTCCAGTATATTCCATATTATCTAGTTGATTCGTTTTAACACAAGCAAAACTAGCTAGGTAGCCTTGGAGAAGCTAATTAATTCTGTATGCTTCAATTTCTCATCTACAAAATAAAGGCAATAATAAAAGTGTGAGTTGCAGTAATTAGATCAGTATATGTGAATTAAACTAAGATTCTGTTAGTGTAAATATTCTCTTATCAGGAACATTTATCTTATCAGGAATATTAACTTTCAACTCCGCCATACGATGACAGTTTAACTATTTGTAAAAGTGATTGTACCAACCTAGACTTTTAAGTAGTATATGAGGCAAAATTTCTCTTCCCCACTTGCCAGTAAATATTTGGTATTCCGGAAATTTATATTTTTACCTATATAGCCAATAAGAAGTGTCATGTTTTTGTTTAATTTGCATTTGTAAATTTTCCTATATTTATTGGACATTTGAATTTTTTCTTCTGTTATGACCAATTGCTCATTTTTCTACAAGGTCAATTATTTTCTGGTTTATTTTTAGAACTTTGTATATTCTGAAAATAAATATTTCATTTGTTGTTTAAGTTTCAATTATATTATCCCAATCTATGTAATGGCTTCATTTTCTTCCTGTAGTTTTCTTGTTATTTTTGTTACCGTTTTTCTTTTTCTTTTTTTTTTTTTTTGGTATATGAGTTTTAAGTTTTAATATTATTGAATTCATCGATTTTATTCTTCAATAGTTTTTTGTACATCTAACCAAATATATTTCCTCGCCAAATATCATGGAAATATATTCTTATTTTGAATGTATTGTTATTGTACCTAATTAACAAGCAAAAACAAAGTTAAATGATATTTTGAAATTTCTGAGACAGGGTCTCTGTCACTCAGGCTAAAGTGCAATGGCATAAACATAGCTCACAGTAATTTTTAATTCCTGTGCTTAAGGAATCTTTCTGCCTCAGCCACCTGAGTAGCTAGGACTACAGATATGCACCATCATGCCTGGATAATTTTTAAAAAATTATTTGTAAATATGGGGGCTCACTATATTAGTCCAGACTGGTCTTGAACTCCCAGCCTCAAACAGTCCTTCCACCTCACTCAGCCTCCCGTAACTCTGGGCTTACAGACATGAGCCACTGCACCCAACCAGTTAAATGGCATTAAACGGTTCCTAACAAAAGTAGACATTTCTTTGCTTTATCTCTCAAAATCACCATTATCCACTCTTTACTGTGGCATTCTTGTATATATATCTTATATATATCTCTAAATAATATGCATGCGTATCTATTTGTTGATTTATTAATTTTAAATATTTTCTATTGACTGATTTTAGTTGAGATTTTAACTCTTACGTTGTTATTTCCTCTATTCCCCATTTTTTATCATAGCAGTTTAGTTATCCTGCCTTTTTTGGTTTAATAATATTAGATATTTGTATTAATATAACTTTGCAAGTATTATTCAAAATTTATCAGTGTAGTGTACAATAATTATTTTTTTCTCGCTTTTTGTTTATAGCCCCTTTTTAACTTGCTACTTTTTTGGGGGGGGTTGGTTTGCCTATTCTTATGTTTTAGTAGTCTCTCATTATAATTACGTACAAGATCAATCACATAATGTAATCTACTTGCAATCCTACATGGAGAACTCAGTTCTATCGGAATTGATTCTGCTCTAGTCATGCTATACAGCTGTCAATATAGGACTTTCATTTTTTGTCAGCCTCAGAATTTAATTTGCCTTTTATGTAGCACTCTCTTTATGCTCCCTCTAATATCTTCCTTATTCATTTCTTTGTTTGAAAGGACAGATAGTCACTCTGGGACTTCTCTTCCTCATAATGCTAGAGATACAACCCTTTTCTGTTAGTCCTTTGGTTTTCTAAATCCTTGTCTTCTTTTCCAGTTTGCTGCTTCTTCTTTTTTTTTTTTTTTTTTTTTTTGGAAGGAACATCCTTGCTATGTTCTGAATGTTTGTGTCCCCCAAAATTTATTTGTTGAAACCCTAACCTGCAAGATAATGATACTGGGAGGTGGGGAGTTTATGAGCTGTTAAGGTTCTAAGGTAAGTGCCCTCATGATTAGGATTAGCGCCCTAATGAAGAGACCCAATAGAGCAAGTTAGATTCTTCCACATGTAAGGACACAGCTAGAAGGCACCATCTATCAGCCAGAAAGCAAGCCCTCACCAAACAATGAATCTGCTCATACTTTGATCTTGGACTTCTTGACCCCCAGAACTGTGAGAAATAAATTTCTGTTATTGATAGTTTATGGTATTTTGTTATAGCAGCCCAAATGGATGGAAATAATCCTCTAGTAGCTTGCTTGGCATGAAAGTAAAGGGGGTAAATTTCGTGACGTTTTGTTTGTCTGAGAATGTATGTGTTCATTCTAACAACTCATTAATAATTAGCTCACTATAGAATTCTATACTGGAGATAATCTCCTTCAGAATTCTATAGGCACAACTGGATTATCTTCTAGCTTCCAGTATCGCTGTTGGAAAGTCCAAAGCCATTTTGAGTTTCGATCCTTTGTATGTGATATATTTTCTGTTTGCTGTTGTTTTTGTCCCCACAGGAAGCTGCAGAACCTTCATTTTACTCTTATGGTTCTGAAGTTTCATAATTACATGTCTCTATGTGAGTGTATGTTCATCCATTTGGCTGGACATTCTCTTTTTATTTTTAATTCTGAAAACACATAGCTCACAGTAAATTATTATATAATAAATGCATCTTTTAAAGTTTCTCTTTGTATAATTTTCATTATTTTAATATTTGTTATCACACTTTATTACCCTACCTATTATATATTTCTATTACATTGCCTTATGTTGTTTTACTTAATGGATGATTTCCTTTCTCAACTTTATTTCTCTAAACATATTGACTATTTTTTTAAATGTCTCCTATTACATTTTTAATTTACCATGTCTTATTTTTAATTTCCAAACACTATTTATTATAGCATTTTTAAATAAATTATTTGGATCTATCTAAAAATATTAATTTTTTAAGCTTTCCTTCCCCTGTACAATTTCTATTTATTCCAAGTTATTTTTTCCTTATATTTTGTTTCTTTTTTATTCAGTGTTACATCTTTTCTTTTTTTTCAAATACCTGACAAGCTTTGTTACAGGGGAACCTGGACTTCAGATCATTATAACTATCCTCATGGGGTGGTAAGATTTCTAGAGTCCTCTAACTAGAGGAATTTGGAAATAAGTCTCAGATTTTATGAAGAATTCATGGCTGGAGATAAGAATTACAGCATCATCAGTGTTTAGAAGGCATTTGTGTTGGAAAGACGTACAGAATTTAAAAAATGAAGAAGAAAATGCCCAGCACCAAGCCTTCTTTATAGGTAAGCCACAATTATGATTTTCTCTATATTAAGATCTATGGTAATTTCTTTAAACCAATATTTATTACCTTGAATAAATTCACATTTGATTCTTTTACTCATCTGTAAAATAATTAAAAGATGCGTGTCTGTTTTAAGTGTTCCATTTAAAGGTGCCCAATAGAAAAAGGACATTAAGAATAGTCAAACCTGAGGAGGGCCGAGCAAGACTGTCAATTAAGACTCTCCAGTGATCACCCACCGGAAGAAACATCAATTTCGACAACTATCCATAGGTAAAAATATCTCACAAGAGCTACGAAAACCAAGTAAAAGATGACTGTACCTTGTCATAGCACAATAATTAGAAAAGACACACCAAAAAAGGTAGAACGGACATTTTTGCATTTCCCATGTTACCCAACCTCCAACCCCAGGTAGCACAGAGCAGAGAGAGACACTGTTCACTTGGGAGAAAGAGAGGTAAGCAATCGTAGAACTTTGCCTTGGACACAAATACCAGGCCCACCACAGTAAAAACCAGCATTAGGTAGACCTGCATGATCTCTGATTTTAGCCTGGTATCTGTAGCCTGATCCTTTAGACCCACCATAGTGCAAGATAGGAACCCCCAGGCCCTGCAAGAATGACTCAAATTCTAGTTCACATAACTACTGGCCAACTATAGCAGCCTTGGATTCTAAATAACCTACCACAACAGGCAGACCTCAGAGGTCATGGGATTTAGACATGACCCACTGCTGCACTAGCCTCAGCAACTATGGGCTTCAAGCACACCCTAGCACCGCACTAATTATAGAATTCATGGACTTTTAGCCCTGCATTGTGGCAGGCTCTGTATCCATAAAATTCTGACCAGTCACTATACCAGCCATGGTGGTTCAGGATATAGGGCACCCCCTAGTACTGCAATAGCTGCAGTGGTCACGGGCTTAAGGATCACACCAGGTGGCCCACTCTTAACCTCTGGACAGGCTTAACACTGAAGGATATTCATAGACAAAGGCAGACTGCAAAGACTGGAATAAGTATCTACTTCTACAGTATGCAGACATCAGCACATGACCAAAAAAATCAAGAATAATCAGGAAAACATGAAGTCACCAAAGGGACAAAAGTAATTGGCAACAACTAACCCTGAAAAGATGGAGATGTATGAAAAATGCCTCACGATAAAGTAAAAATAACTGTTTTAAGGAAGCTCAACAAATGTCAAAAAAATACAGAAAAACAGCTAAAGGTATGAAGAAAACATTGTGACTATGATGAGGAAATAATAAATTGAAATAATAATAATATTAAATCAAACAGAAATCCTAGAGCTAAAAATTACAACAAATGAAATTTTAAAAATCTATAGAGAGTATCAACAGAAGAACTTCGTAAGTGGAAGAGGATTCTCTAAACTGATACACAAGTTATTTGAAAATATACAAAGGGGAAAAAGGAAATAAAAATAAAGAAAATGCAGAAAGCCTACAGGATTTCTGGGATAACCTTAAATGAGCAAATATAATAATCATTGGCATTCAAAAAAAAGCAATGACAGTTAAAGGTAAAATATTATTTTAAAAATTGAAGGAGAAAACTTTCCAAACTTGGAGAAAGATAGAAATATTTACAGGAAGGTAAAAAGTCTTCATTCTGATTTAATTTAAAAAAGATTACCCTCAAGTTATACTGCAACTGTCAAAATCAAAGAAAAAAGAGGATTTGGAAAGCAGCAGGAGCGAAGAAGCAAACCACAAATGACGAGAGCTCTAATAAGCCAATAGCAGACATCTGAAGAAAAATCTTACGGGCTAAGAGAGAGCAGGATGATATATTCAAAGTGCTGGGGGAAAAAACTGTCAACAAAAAATACTATGCCCTGCAAAGCTGTTTTTCAGAAATAAGATAAATAAATAATTTCCCAGACAAACACAAGCAGAGAGTTAGTCACCACCTTACAAAGAATGCTACAAGGAGTTCTTCAAGCTGAAAGGAAAGGACACCAGTGAGTAAAACAAAAATCACTGAAAGTACAAAACTCACTGTAATGTAAGTACACAAAAATTCAGAATATTTTATTACTCTATGATGGTGTAGCAACCAAACATTTTAATATGACAGTTAAGACACAAAATTATTAAAATAATAATAACTAAAATTATTTGTTAATCGATATGCAATATAAAATGATGTAAATTGTGACATCAAAAATTCAAACTGTTAGGGAGGAGTCGAGTAAAAATGTAAACATTTTTGCTTTTGCTTTGTCTTTTTTTTTTTTTTTGCAATCAAACTTAAGCTGTTATCAGGTTAAAATAACTTGTTACAACAATAAGATGATTTTCATAAGCCTCATGGTAACATTAACTCAAAAGCCTATAACAGATACGCTAACAGAAAAAGCAAAGAATAAAACAATTTTCATGAAAATTACTTAATCACAAAGGAAAGCAGTAAGAAAGAAAGGAAGAATGAATCTGTATAACAACTAGAAAACAAGTAACAAAAAGACAGCAGTAAGTTCCTACATATAAATAATAAAAAAATTCTCTAATGAAAAGACACTGAATAGCTGAATGAATTTAAAAAAATGACTCAATTATATGTTGAAATGCACTACAAGAGACAGTTTCACAGGTAAGGGCACATATGGACTAAAAATGAGGGAATGGAAACCATTAAAGTGCAAGGCTAGGTATAGTTATATCAGATAAAATAGACTTTAAGCCAAAATCTGTGAAAAGAGACAAAAAGGTCATTATAAAGTAGTCAATTCGATAAGATGATATAATAATTATAAATATATACACCCAACATAGGACCACCTAAATATATAAAGTAAATATTAATAAAATGGAAGCGATAGGCTGAAATACACTAAGAGTAAGCGACTTCATCACCTCACTTTCAGCAATGGATAGTTCATCCAGACTGAAAATCAACATAGAAACATCATGTTGAAACTGTCCTACTGACTAAATGAATATAGCAGGTATACAGACATAAGAACAAGCCATCCAACAGCTGCAGAATACACCTCCTTCTTACTTGCACAGGGAATATTCTCCAGGATAGATGCTATATTAGACCATCAAACAAGCCTCCACAAGTTTAAGATTAAAGTCATATCACGTATCTTTTCAGACCACAGTGACATAAAACTAGAAATCAATAACAGGGGGAACGTTGGAAAATTCCCAAATAAATGGAAATAAAAAGCATGTCCCTGAACAAACAATGGGACAATGAAAAAATTTAAAAATGAAATTTAAAATATTCTTCAGACAAATATAAATGGGAACACAACATATTCTGCGGGATATAGCAAAAGTAGTTCTAAAAAAGAAGTTTATAGCAATAAATGCCTACATCAGAGTATATGAAAAATCTCCAACAACCTAATCTTGTATCTCAAAGAACTACTAAAGAAAAAAACCCATATCTAAAATAAGAAGGAAGGGAGGAAATAATAAAGATAGAGCAAAAATAAATAAAATACAGACTACAAAAGCCTTAGAAAAGATCAACAAAACTGAGTTAGTTTTTTGAATTGATAAATGAAGTAGACAAACCATTAGCTAGAGTAAGAAAAAAAGAGAATACTCAACACATATTCAGAGACAAGTAAGCAGACATTACAACCAATGCCATAGGTATACAAAATAGTATAAGAGAACATTATGAACAATTATATTCCAACAAATTGGATAACCTAGGAGAAATCAATAAATTCTGAACATACACAACTTACCAAGATTGAATTATGAAGAAGTAGAATCTCTGAACAGACCAATATTGAATAAGGAGATTAAAAAGAAATAAAAAGTCTCCCATCAGTAAAAAGCCCAGGACCTCATGGCTTCACTGCTGAATTCTACCAGACATTTAAAGAACTAATATCAATTCTCAGATTTTTCTAAAAAATTGAAACAGGAAAAAAATACTTCCAAACCCATTAGATGAGGCCAGCATTATCCTGATACAATTAAATCTGAACACAAACTACTGGCCAATATTCCTGATGAACATAGGTTTGAAATCCTTAACAAAATACTAGTAAACCAAATTCAACAGCAAATGGAAAACATCATTCATTGTGATACGTTAGATTTACCTCAGAGATGAAAGGATGGCTTACCATATGCGAATTAATAAATGTGACACATCACACTAACAGAGTGGACAACAAAAATAATATGATCACTTCAATAGATGCAGAAGAAACCTTTTTACAAAATTTAACATGCATTCATCATAAAAACACTCCATGAATTAGGTATAGACAAATACCTCAACATAATAAAGTCCATATATGAAAATCCCACAACTAACATATTAAATGGGAAAGATGAAATCTTTTCCCCTGAGATCTAGAACAAAACAAGGACATCCACTGTATTAGTTTGTTTTCACGCTGTTGATAAAGATATACCTGAGACTGGATAATTTATAAAGAAAAAGAGGTTTAATGGACTCAGAGTTCCATGTGGCTGGGGAGGCCTCACAATCATGGTGGAAGGTAAAAGTCACTTCTTACATGGCAGCAGGCAAGAGAGAGAATGAGAGCCAAGCGAAAGGAGCCTCCCCTTATAAAACTGTCAGATATTGTGAGACTTATTCACTGCCACGAGAACAGTATGGGGGAAACCACCCCTATGATTCCGTTATCTCCCCACGGGGTCCCTCCCACAACAAGTGGGAATTACGGAAGCTACAATTCAAGATGAGATTTGGGTGGGGACACAGCCAAACCATATCATCTGCTTTCACCGCTTCTATTAACATGGTACTAGAAGTCCTAGCCAGAACAATTAGGCAAAAGGAAGTAATATAAGGAATTCAAATTGGAAAAAAAAAGTTAAAGTATCCTTGTTTGCAGCTGACATGATCCGTTTTATAGAAAACTCTAAAGACTCCACCAAAAGTTGTCGGAACTAACAAACACATTTATTAAAGGTGCAGGATAAAAATTAACACAAAAATCAAAATCAGTAGTGTTTCTGTACACTAACAGTAAACTACCTGAAAAAGAAATCAAGAAAATAATCTCCTTTTTGATAGGTATAAAAAAATACTCCAAAAATTTTAACCAGGGAGGTGAAAGATCTCTACGCTGAAAATTATGAAAAATTGGTGAAACATATTGAAGAAGACACAAATAAAAAGGAAGACTTTATGTTCGTAGATTGAAAGTAGTAATATTGTTAAAATGTCTATACTACTTAAAGTCATCTACAATGCAATTCGATCCCTATCAAAGGACCAATGACATTCTTCACAGAAATAAAAAAAAATCATAAATTTACTTTTTCACAGCCAATTGATTTCCTACAAAGGCACTAAGACCACAAAATGGGGGAAAAAACAGTCTCTTTAATAAATGGTATTGGATAAATTGGATATACATATGCAGAGAATAAAACTAAATCCTTATTTCTCACCATATATAAAATCAATTAAAAATGGAACAAGACTTAAACATAAGATGCAAAACTATAAAGCTGCTAAAAAAAAACAAAAACAAAAACAAAACAGGAGAAAACTCCATGACATTGGTCTGGGCAAGGTTTGTTTTGTTTTGTTTTGTTTTGTTTTAAATATGCCTCCAAAAACACAGACAACAAATGCAAAAAAATAGACAAGTGGAATTACCAAAATCTGAAATGTTTCTGCATAGCAAAGGAGAAAATCGACAGAAGAAACAACCTACTGAATGGGAGAAAATATTTGCAAACTATACATCTGGTTAACTACACATCTGATACATTCATGGAGTGCTTTTATGATAAATGTAGGTTAAATTTTGTCAATATTCAAAATGTATAAGAAACTGAAACAACTCAATAGCAAGAATACAAATAACTCAATTTAAAATGGGCAAAGACATTAACACACATTTCCCAAAAGAGGACTAACAGGCATATAAAAATGTTCAATATCATTATTCATCACAGCAATGCAAATCAAAACCAAAATGAGATATTATGTCACTCCTGTTAGAATGGCTATTATCAGAAAGAAAAAAGATAACAAGTGTTGGCAAGGATGTGGAGAAAACAGAAGTCTTATCAACTGTTGATGGGAATATACATTAATATAGTCATTATAGAAAATAGTATGGATGTTCCAGAATAAATTAAATATTGAACTACCGCATGATCTAACACTTTTGTTAATGGTATAGATCCAAAGGAAATAAAGTCATTATGTTGAAGAGGTATCTGCTCTCATTTTTATTACAGCGTCTATTCACAATAGCCAAGATGTGGAATCAACCTAAATGTTACCAATGGATGAATGGATTTTTAAAACATAGTATATATACACAATGGAATACTGTTCAGCCATAAAAATGAAGGAAATCGTGTCATTTATCACAAATCGAATCAATCTGGAGGACAGTATGTTTAGTGACATAAGCTAGGCACACAAAGAAAAATGTCACATGATCTCACTCATATGTAGAATCAAAAAACAAATGATCTCATAGAAGTAGAGAATAGAATGGTGGTTAACAGAGGCTGGAGTGGTTTGGAGGGAAGAATGTGGAGATGTTCTCAAATGAAACATAATTACAGCTAAATAGGAGGAGAGATCTATTGTATAGTATGGCAACCATAGATAATAATCATGTTGTATTCTTAAAAAACACAAAGAGAGTTGATATTAAGTGTTCTCACCACAAAAATAACTGTGAAGTAATGTATTTGTTCACCAAAAACATCCACAATGAGAAAAGTTATATTTAAGATTAATAAATTATCTTAATACTCATAAAGTAACTAGTTTCCATTAACACCCATGTGTGTGAGAGTTTTAAATCACCACAGATATGTAAAACTGCCATTTTACAATTGAGTATTTGAAATGATCCTACAATCACTAGTTACATTCTTGGGATAGAGGAAAACAGCTGCATGATGTAATGACAAAAAATAAAATAAAACAAACCCAAATTGCTTTATGTGAGTCACTCATTTAGCAGAAATAATTTCGCAAATTTGCTGCAAAGTGTATTTCTATTTTTCATGATTGTCACTATAAAATTTAAATTGTATATAGCTCGAAAAATTGCTTTCCTAATCATCATAAAATTATTCTTAAGAATTCATCACGTCTTTAAAATTACACATTTGAAAAGGAAATGAGAACTTTAACAGTAATGCACAAAATAGGAACAATAACACTCAGCTGTGCTTAAAACAATTCATGAAATTCCTTTCTTGAAAAGGAAAATAGAGTGCAGTACAAAAACTCTGATGGTAAGATTACTTGCTCTGTGCCTGCAATAAATGCATTAGAAAAGAATTTGTTTAAAAAAAAATCAAAACCCAGCTCCCTTACCACTTACTACTAGTAACCTATGTCATTTGTCACTTGTTCTATTTCACATAGATTGGACTTAAATAAGTTTTTAATTTGATGCTGTATTATGTATTGTTAGTTCCATGAATCATCTACAGAAAGTGAGTACCCCACCCACTTTGCATTGCCTAAAATGCAACTCCTGATTAGCAATAGAAAATGATGATAATATTTATTAGGTTCACAGTAGTTCAGCTGCCAGACACATTCTGGCTTACTTGATTTAGAGCAGTTCAAAGTGGTATTGGTTGAACCTGGAAAATACTAAACATGTTGAGAAATTGTCAAAGGCAAGCCTTTTTTGTTTCATCTAGAATAACTAATTTGCAATGCTCAAGATGACAGTAGTGGCCATGACAAAATAGTCATATGTAGCACGACTATTTTTACACCACTTTAATAAGGTATTAAAAAAGCTGTACATATTTAATATGTACAACTTCATGAATTTGGGGATACGTATACACCTGTAAAATCATCATGACAATCTATATAGCACTGTTACAGTAGGTAGTAACAAGGCTTGAGCGGGGCAGGAGGGAGCTCTCCCTGCTCTCCACCAGGAATGTCGGGCCACCATCAGGTGATGGGCAGGTGGTTGTTAACTGCCTCTCTAAAATAATAACTGGTCACAGCCAGCGCCAGGAAAAGGCAGTCTCCCAATAGATAGAAAAAAAACCTGAAACTGGTGATGCAATCAGCAGGAGTTCAGGGAGTGGACTCAAGCATGAGCTTTAAGAAGCAAAATGGCAGAGTTTACTTGTTATATGACCTTCTAGGTTCATTCGATTTGTAAGGGAAGAATGCCTCACCTGAGCACGCATACAAGTCCAGTAAACACACTGCACTTGCTCACCTCCCAAGTGCCAGCAGCCCACTGCACATGCAGACAGCCCACCCCAAGGCAAGAATCAGGGGAGAAGAGATGCAAGACCCTAGAAATATGCCAACCCCAAGTCAGAAGGTCAAATAGGGCACTTGATCTCTCAAGTCACCCGCTTGGCCTTCTTCCAAGTGTATTTTATTTCCTTTCATTCCTTCGCTAAAGCTTTTATGATAAACTTTTACTCATGCTCTATTGCCTCCATCTCTCCTGCGTTCTGCCTCCTTGGTTGAATTCTTTCTTTGGAGGAGGCAAGAACTGAGGTTGCTGCAGACCCATACGGATTCACTGCTGGTAACCGCATGGCATCTTAAAACATGTGTGAGCAGAGAATAGAATAAGAAAACGGATTCACTAGCAATTATAATTCTGGTTATCAACTTGTTACAATGTGAGGAATACATTCCTAGGAAGGAGATAAAGCATTAATTTGTTTTAAAATATACTTTCAAATTTCAGAGAGCAAAGTCCTAGCAAGGATTTATTTAAAAATTTATATAATAAGTATTTTTGTACAGTTTTGTTTCTAATTATTGACAGTTATGTTAGATAGTTGGTTCTAGAAAAAAAAAATCTTAGTATGACTACTTTTTCTTCATATTGAGACAGCCAGGTACAAAGGGGTCCCCAGAGAAACTCTAATTGGCCTGTGTACAGGGAGAATGGGGTGGAGCCGGTAAGTTCTTTCCATTTGCAGGGGGCAGGAGCCTGGCCTCTCCTGTTCTGGGGTGGAACCTGGGATTCAATCTATGAGGCAGGAAACCTGGTAGCAGGACTCCGGCTTTGCTGAGAGTCCCTGTTCCTTTTTATTTGTTTTTACCCAATAAACCCTGCCATTCTCACCCTTCAAAGTGTCTGTGAGCCTAATTTTTCATGGTTGTGTGACAAGAACACTGTTTCCAGCTGAACTAAGGAGAAAGTCCTACAACAATATGTATTAAATTTTATAATACTTGACCTGGCAATAGGAAAATATGTAGCATAAAACGATCATCTTTCCTATCTTTACTAACGCTCATGGGAAGGAGGTATTACTCTAAGATTTTTTTTAAAAGTAGTTCTGCTGATTTTTACCTTCTTTAACATGAAACTATAACAATACACATATAAAAGGATTTCTGTTTCTAAATATGATTATCTAAAAGATGCTATGTACTGTTTATGCTACACAGTCATTCCATAATATTGATTCATAGCAGAAACCCTCCAAGGGAGATGTGTGTGTATATAATAGTACCATTTCTCAGTTGGAGTCTTTTGCTTGATGTAACACCAAAACCTTGAAATGAATAGTGTTTGCTGAGTGAGTAAAGGGACAAATATACAGCTATCATCATTCAAGCAGTAACAATACATTTATGATAAAGCAGTAATTTCTTCTTAGCGAACTCTTGTAAAGGCATTCAGCAATGCATAATCACTTATTCTTCATGCCATTCACATTGTTAAGTTCTAAATACACAAATCACCATAACAACACGGAAGATTTCAAAAAATGATCGTGTTGAGTTTTGTTGTTCAACGATCTCAGCATTTTTCTTGATTCATTATGTGCCCAATTGTTTCCACGAGCAAAATTGAATAATCTTCACCATTATGTTGCACTTTCTTTTCAAAACCAGCTTAGCTAAGTCATCAGAGAGGCTTATGTATGCCCAGAATTTGTAAATCCACTCCTATATTGGTTTTACAATGTGTTATTACACAGTGAAAATTTGATGAAAACAATTCTGTTCGTAACTTCTTTCTTATTTAACAACCTTGAAACATTTCATCATATTTCAAGGTGTGCCCCACTGTGGCAGTAATATTCCGATCATGTTGGGGTGGTCTGCATAAATATGTTACCACATGGGTTGGTCCTGCAGAATCATTTCTCTCTTCTTCTGCCTTCATTCTGACCTCTAAATTTAATGATATTGAAGTGCATATCAGGTGTCCTTCCTTTACATTTGAATTAAATTCTCTAGCTACATTATGAACTGATTTCAATCCCAAAATATTTAAAAATTAATGGTATTCTAAATTAAATGATTTAGAATACTATATTTCAAATACTATATCTCAAATCTTTCAATCAAATTTCAACATTTCAACTGCCATTATTTTTCCTTTCAGACTGGGCTAGATCTAATTTTTTCTTTTTTTCTGAATGCATTTAGTTCTTTCTTGAGCCTTTAAAAGTTTTTTAAACCTTATTTATGTGTGTTATGCTTTTCTCACCTATTAAACTGAAACCAGTAGGCACTGGAAATTTGCCTATAGGATATAAGAAAGGAAATCAACCAAAATGGCAGGTGGGGTTTCACATATGAACTAATTCTTAGGGCTTTCTATTTCCCCCAGAATCCTCTGACTATGGCACGACACTCCAGCTAAACCAAAGTTTCCTTGGCCGTTTTCTCCTTGTCTATGATCCCTTCTTAAAACTGTGTGGTGACTTCAAAAAGTCATTTTCCCTTTGACTGAGTCAATGAGCTTTTCTTATTAATGTCTTAAAATTAAATTATCCCCAGCAACATACACACAGACCACAAAACATGTGTCAATCAAAACCCAAACAACTTCTAAAAATAACATCAGAGTGACAGAATTCCATCACTCTTTTGATTGAATGGTTTCTCTCTGAAACCAAGCCTGAGGTAAGAAATGTTTAATTATGAACAAGGTTTTCTTTGTGAAAAGTACTTGGAACTCAGGGGAAGAGAAATCAGGGAGAAAAAAAAATCAGCCACAGAATAGTATATACTCATAAATGAAACAATCTTAAAACCAAAACAACTAAGGCTAGGTGTCTATTTTTAGTGGTAAACAAGGTATAAATTGAGAAAGAAGGTTAAAGGAACTTAAACACAACTAACATTCCATGATCTTACAAGGCAGATATACAGTCAGACCTCCATGGGGATACACTTGTTTTTGTAATACATGTGAGAGTCTCAAGTCAGTAGGGCCAAGTTTTGTAAAACATTCTGTCCATGTGTATACCTCATAGCTAATTGAACTAAGTGTCCTAGCAACTCATTCATTGAATGATTGAGACTCAGGACTCAGCATGGATAATGCCAAAGTTTTCATCTGACCTTAATTAAAATGGAAGATGTTACTCATAAGAACAAGTCCACAGAAGTTCAAATATCATTGTACATTAGATCTGTGTAACTATGTCCTCTTGCAAATCCTCAACCCCTTTTTTTTTATTTTTTATTTTTCTCTACAGGACCTAAGTAAAATTGTAGGTAAATATGGCTTATTGGACATAATATCCCTGTAAATATGACCAGATAACTATGTGATATTTGATTTCCATATAAGCCAAGTAGATCTTTTATTTTAGGTGTTAAATGTAAAAAAAAAAAATCAATGGCACTAACAAAGCAAAACATGTGCTTGGAAGATTGGGGTGACAACACCTATATTATTTAGACAGACAGTGGTTGTTCTTGAATCATAAGCTAAGAAATGCATTTTATTCTGTTGCCAATGGAGAGCCAACGAGTTACTAAACGGGCTAATTATGGGCTCATGGAAGCATTTCATGAGGTTGAAAAATGCGATGGATAAGGGATGGATTGGATAGATCTGATTTAGGAGGTCCTACTTATTCATAAGTGCCTATGTTAGGCACTATAAGCTCCTAACCTAGATTGGTGGTTGGGCAGCAAGAGATGAGATTTGGAAATTTAAAATCATGAAGAAAACAAGATCTGATCATGTATAATAGCTTTTTGTGGGTTTGTTTGTTTGTTTGTGTTAAAGGAGTCTCCAGTGGATACTGTTATGTGCTGACAAGATCTCTTCCTGACTGAAGAACTTCTTAGCCCTTTTAGCCAAATTTCTTTGGCTGAGAAAAAGTCACTTTGTCCTACATCTACTACTTGTTTCCTGGGGCAACCTGTATCCAGTGACTGGCCAAAGTGGAGACAAAAGCCTCAGTCCCATCACCCCAACACAGGCCAGTACTGAAGGGACATCCTAGATTTAAAACTGCTAACGAGGTCAGCTCTAGGCTTTGGTAAGAGTACATTGCATCCCAAGTTTTATCTCTTCCCAATCCTTCTTTCTTTCCTTCCCTTCCTTTCCACAGGTAGTGATCCCAAGAGCACCCCTACATGCTCCTACACGCTAAACCTCCTGCATACTTATCTCCATCTCAGACCCAATCAGTAACAGAATCAAAGATGATGCTGAGTTGCCAAGATTAGGGGGAAAAGACAATTGTGATATAAAGCAAACATCTGGCAGACAAGAAGAACAGGTGTGTAAGAAAGAAATATGGAGAGGAAAAATGAGTGGATTTCAGAATGTTAACAGTGAGGCGATTGTGCAGTACAAAGTAGAAATGTTCATCAGGAAGCTGAAAAACACAGGGCTCCGATTTGGGAGCAAGTTCACAACAGATGCAGATGTTGTCATTATCCACATGGAGCAGAGCTCAATTCCTACTTTGAGTATTGCTGTCACTGCCTTTGCTTCTATTTTCCTGTGAGGAAATCCAAATAGCCTAAGATCTATTACATGATTCTTGATAAGATTTCTTTTAAACAATGTTCTCTTTGGTCTGTGTATTAGTCATGTGTTCAAATGGTCTAACTGAAGATACATATCAGCATCTTGGACAAGTTTTGAGCAGTGTTAAACTATTTCATCAGCTCAAAGATACAATAACTGATCCTTTATAAAGCTTCCAACAAGATAAGAAATACCCCCTACCCAAATAAGTCATTTTCGTGGGGACAATAGAGAATTTAGTGAAATCTCGAATCATACCAAATACAAAGTTTAAGCATTTCAAAGGATATCAGGCTATCAGGACTCAAACAGATTTTTGGAAGTGATTAAATGTATTTTTTCTACCTCTGTGAAGGACAAAACCTATATAGTGGCTAATTACGATCTGAAAATAAGATAGAAAACATATCCATATATATATATAAATACCCTGTTTTTATATTCAATGTGCTTATCAAAAGCCATTTTAACCAGGTTTTCTAAGATTTTCTTTCTCTGGTAAGTTGAATTCTAGAATTCAAAAATGTTATATTCTACATTAAAACTTTATTCATTTTATGTGACCGTGAATTTTAATATTGCACATTAAAAGACATTTCCTCATATAGGACCATAACAGCATGTGCATTAGAAAGTAAACTCTAAAGGAAATATATTAATTCATTAACTTACTCATTTGCTAAAATATTAATTGAACTAAAAACTAAATCATAGAATTTCAGAAAGTAAGAGGCCTTTCGTGAGAAAATTGAGGCCTTGGAAATAGAGTTACGGGAATTTGGATAAGAATTAAAACTTGAGGACTTTTATGTACCTGTCATTATACTATGCTAGGTTCTTTAATGAAAGTTTATCTTATTTCATTTTTACAGTCACTCAATTGTTATAGGATGATTATAAAATAGTTATAACCACCTTATTGTTAACCATTGTACTGAACAATAAATTTGAGACCGAAAGAGTTTAAGTATGTCAAAGTTCACATCATTGTTAAGTAACTTTCCACTTGTCCCTGGTATCTTTCTATGAATATATATACATTTTTCAGTTAGTTATTTAGGCATTGGTAGTACACAAAATACACAAAATGCTTCAACTTATTTCTGTGACAATATCATCACAGTAACTATACTACACAGCTGTCTTCAAAGACCTGCGAAGAAGATAGAATGAGGCCAGAAAAATCTCTCCATTTTAGACTAATTTGAAGTTTTGCAAACTAATCCATTTTGAATAACAATTAATTCATCCAAATCTTTATTAACATGATTATCATAATTTGCATAATCTCAGAGTGTGAAATGTCTATAGGAATCCTGACATACTTAGAGTTCAATATTTTCATTTTCATTTATTTGTATTTACCTTTTAGTACAAAAATACAGGTGCATTATGCAGGACTAAAAGTAGGGTGCAGTGAGTACTAATTAATGAATTTCTTAATAATAAATGCTTTTAAAATAAAGTAGTTCAAAAATTGTCATCTCAAATGGCCTTTACAAAAAAGGATAATACCTCAAGTATACCTTGAAACATTTTTCACAAGAATTAAGCATTTTGGAACGTATTTGCTAATCATTCTATATCTAATGTTGGCATCAAAGAACTATGTAGCATGTAAGTCCTTAGACACTGGTTTTGCTCACCAGCAAGAATGCAGTTTGAATTTAATAAAATTATTGAGCTTTGCCTGTGTTCCAGGTTCTTTGTTAAGAACTTAACAAATATTAGACCTGACAGAATTTTTCTCCAGACGAGGGTTCTCTGCAGGTTCTTCAGAGAACGAAACAACTTTATTTATATACAATAATTGCTAATTGCCAAATGCTAGTAAAACTGAATCATAAGAATGATCTAGTAAAAAAGAAAAAAACTATTTTATTAAAACAGTGGCAGCCTAGAAAAAAACGAACAATCCTATCAAAGAGTGGGCTAAGGTCAATAAACAATTCTCAAAGGCGTATAAATGGCCAACAAATATATGAAAAAATGCTCAACATCACTAATAATTAGGGAAATGCAAATCAAACGCAAATCAAAACCACAAAGCAATACCACCTACTCCTACAAGAATGGCCATAATCAAAAAATCAAAAAATCATAGATGTTGGCGTGGATGGAGTGAAGAGGGAACACTTCTACACTGCTAGCGGGAATGTAAACAAGTACAACCACTGTGGAAAACAGTGAGGAGATTCCTTGAATAATTAAAAGTAGAACTACCATTTGATCCAGCAATTCCACTACTAGGCATCTACCCAGAGGTAAATGAGTCACTAAATGAAAAAGATACTTGCACAAAAATGTTTATAGCATCACAATTTGCAATTGCAAAAATATGGAACCAACCCAAATGTCCATTAATCAATGAGTGGATAAAGAAACTGCGGTGTACATATATATGATGGAATACTGCTCAGCCATAAAAAGGAATGAATTAATGGCATTCACAGCAACCTGGACGATATTGGAGACTATTCTTCTAAGTGAAGTAACTCGGGAATGGAAAACCAAACATCATATGTTCTCTCTCATAAGTGAGAGCTAAGCTATGAGAATGCAAAGGCATAGAATGACACAACGGACTTTAGGGACTCATGGAGAAAGGGTGGGAGAGGGGTGAGGGATAAAAGACGACATATTGAGTACAGTGTATACTACTTGGGTTATGGGTGCACCAAAATCTCACAAATCACCACTAAAGAAGTTACTCATGTAACCAAATACCACCTGTTTCCCAATAACCTATGGAAATAAAAAAAATTAAAATTAAAAAAATTGCAACCTAAAGTGTTACCAAAAAATCATTTTTTCTTAAAAAAATCCTTTTTTAATAAAAATAATTAAGATTTTAAAAACAGACTTTAAATGTTTAAGTGTCTTGGAAAAAAATTGAATGCCAGGGTTTGGACACACTTAACAATTGATAGTTGGCCAATGGCATTGTTTAATAGCTTTAATGTTGTCCAGAAGAAATATTAAATATTTAAAATAGAAACTTCTTATTTCTATATCTGGTTTCTTTATTTCAAAGAAAAGGGAGAATATTTGTGAAAAACTTATCGACTGTGTTGATGGTTAACTTTACTGAATATGATTGTTTGAATTTTCTCATTAATTAGCTCAAGAATACATATTAAGAGTAAATTTAAAAATTCAGTGGCTTACGCCTGTAATCCTAGCACTTTGGGAGGCCAAGGCGAGTGGATCACGAGGTCAGGAGATCGAGACCATCCTGGCTAACATGGTGAAACTCCGTCTCTACTAAAAATACAAAAAAAAATTAGCCGGGCATGGTGGCAGGCGCCTGTAGTCCCAGCTACTTGGGAGGCTGAGGCAGGAGAATGGCATGAACCCAGGAGGCGGAGCTTGCAGTGAGCCGAGACTGCACCACTGCACTTCAGCCTGGGAGACAGAGCAAGACTGTCTCAAAAAAAAAAAAAAAAAAAAAAAAAAAAATTCAAGCATTTTCCACAAGCACTTTGTTATGTCTAGGTATTTTGTCAGTGTCAGACATCTCACCATTAATATTTTTTTTGATGTAATGAACTGGAGTTTCACGTCAATGTCCCATACTTATTGCTGGCACTTCACAGAGTAATTAAGGACTCCTAGGTGTACATTCTCTTTTCATCACTGCTTTTATCATTCTATGACTTAAATTAGGAAGATTCATTCTATTATAACTACATAGAACTGACTGAAAACAGTGTGAAAACTTTTGCCTAGGATAGTGTGTTTTTGTGACAAAAGGTTAATTTCACTAAATTCATTCCATTAGAACTCAGAGAGGGCTATTTCACTCAGATGCTGAAACACATGAATTCAAACTGTCAAATGCAAATTCTACTAAAATTAAATGTCTACTTAAAAAGAACTGTGCTTGAATTTCAACAGCATTATGTTTAGCTGACGGCATGCAAAATTGCCAGACCTCAATACTGATTTATAGCATTTCCACTGCCAGCAAACAGGGACAATGGGAGAGCCAGAAGGACTCAAAAAGAAAACCTAATCTTTCCATGGGGAAAAAATATTAGAGACAGAAATACTATAAAAATAAACTTAATGAGGATGTGGAGCTATTTCAATGAACCACACCATTGGGAGAAGGGCGAAATCCTTGCCGTGGAGATGTAGGACACCAGCCCCTCTTACTTCTGTTATCATCTCATCCTTTCAATGACAGGACACATTAGCTCTCTAAAATGACATTGTCTTATAGCCATGACTAAAACTGCAGCCATTCTTCACACCAAGGGAGAATATAAAGTGGAACAAAGAATAAAAAACAGAATAGGAGAGAGAAAAAAAAATAAAGTGAAAACTAGGAAAGGGAAACAGGCAAAAGCAACGGAGGGAAAAGCAGGTTAAGAAATCTTTTTTTTTTTTTTTTTTTTGAGATGGGGTTTTGCTCTTGTTGCCCAGGCTGGATTGCAGTGGCACAATCTTGGCTCACCACAACCTCAGCCTCCAGGATTCAAGCAATTCTCCTGCCTCAGCCTCCCGAGTAGCTGGGATTACAGGCGTGTCCCACCACACCCGACTAATTTTGTATTTTTAGTAGAGATGGGGTTTCTTCATGTTGATCAGGCTGGTCTCGAACTCCCGACCTCAGTTGAGCCACCCACCTCAGCCTCCCAAAGTGCTGGGATTACAGGCATGAGCCACCGCGCCTGGCCAGATAAATCTTAACAAGGCAATGAAAATGATGGAGAGGAAGAACAAGAAGGGCAGTAGGTCTGCAAAGAAAGCAAGAGCCAACCTGCAGGCACATGTTTCTAATTGCTCATATATCCTCACTGTATTTGGTAAAACACAATGAATATTAAAGAAAACATCTTCTAAGTAGGTCTTTTTCACCATGGGTATTTATAACATTTCAGAGACAAATATTCTTTATAAATTCTTTGAAGCTGTTAACCAGTTCCTGCACTATGTCAATTGCAAACATATTTTTATTTCCAGCCCTTCTGATGGTGACAAACAAATTTGCTCTAGAAGACTTGAAAACTGTGTGCTTCACAAATAGTGCTCCAATGAAGATATCTGTACCGTAACAGACAGGAGAATGCAGCACACTTGTTTTTCAACTCGCCAAATGGAAAAACAATGGAAGCCCTCATGCTTACTATGGGTACACCCATACATACTCTGCTTTTCCTGGAAAAAGAAGATTCAAATGTAATATGGAAGAGAGTATCACATTTGAATCTTGGCGTTTGTAGGGTAGTTGTGTGTAGCGATGGGGCAAGGGAGGCATCCTGAAGCAACTCTTTAGTGCATTAATACTTTTTGCTTCACATCAATAATTGCCTTTTGTTTGGTTTTGTTCTGTTTTTTTTGTCTATGTTTTCTAAAATTGTGTACCTTTTTTCAAGTACAAATTGCAGAAAGTGTTGAATTTCCTGAGCAGAGGATTAGGGAATATACACTGGCACTCTTCCTCTAGGTAAGAGGGTAAATAAAATTTCAGAGCTAATCAAAAACATGAAATGAATATATTCTTTCCTAGGCTTCACACTCCCACTTCCATTCAGCAGAATCTTTCAGCAGAAAACACAATTTTAAAAGCCATTTTTAGGAGCTTTTGTTCCAGAAATGATTAATTAATAATTGCAGTCTAGAAGGTTGGCATAGATGGTTGAAGGTCTTCTCCAATTGGGACAATTTATCAGTCTACTATTTCAAGTAGGTAATTATCAAACAAAACTATCAGTGTACATTATGTTAACAGTGTACTTTAATATTGTGGTTTAACAATGAATCTGAATTAAGCCATTGGCAGCATATTTTCTAAATCTGTACTTTTTTTTCCAATTTTGCAGCTTAGGCAAATAATCCCTGGATACGTGTAGATAATAACAAACAGATATCAAACATATAAATTTAAACAATATCAAAGAATTGGAAATGGGCATTTATTTTCAATTGCTGTTAATCCAAATGCAAAAGTAGAGCTGTCTTTTCTTCTCTGGACCTTTTGACATGTGCAGCAACACATTTTGCATTTTACTCTGTCATCTGTGATACTGGAAATGAAACACTGAGTCTGATCAGAGGCATCAAGCATGAAGCCAAGCAGAAGATACATAAGTATCTTATGGTCCATTGCCCTTGGTGATTGAGCTAGTGACATCTAAAAGGAACACAGAGAGGTCTGACACACAACAGCATCTTTCACCCTCTTAATCACACACATAGCAACACGTGTTCCTGTGAAGAAATACCCTTCTCCATCTGGCGGCTACTAATTGACTAATTGAGCATCAAGACTTTCAAAGAGTGCTAAACATGAGCAAGACTGAAAATGTCTCCTCTGTTGAACTGACCTAGGATAATTTCCTATAGCTTCATTCGTGTAAGTAACAACAAAAACTTCTCAAAAAAACACAAAGAATGGGGTGTTAATGTTTGTGTTAAAATTTTGTAGTACATAACATGATCTTATATATTATATATTTTTAAAAGATATTTTATAAAGTTCCACCCTAAATGAGTATGTAGAATATAATAATTAATGTGTTATAATTTACACAGCTTTGGGTAAAATTTTCTAAATTAGCTTTAAATTGTATTTTTATGTTAATGGCTCTATATACCAGGGGTTATAGCCTATGGGCCAAACCAGCCCACCACCTGTTTTTGCATGGTCCATTTACATGTTTAAATGGTGAGGGAAAATCAAAGAAAGAATAATGTTATATAATGTAGGAAAATTGTATGAAATTCAAAGTCCAGTGTCAATTAATAAACTTCTATTGAAATACATTAACACTCGCTGGTTTATGCTTTTGCCCTGTCTCTGATGTCTGCTTTCATGCTGTAATGGCAGAATTGAATATTTGTGACGAAGATTATATGCGTTCTGCAAATCCTAAAGTATTCACTGTCCGGCCCTTTTCAATATAAGGTTTGCTAACTCCTGATTTATACCATCTTCATCTACTTAATTTGAAATAAAAATATTTAAAGTAAGTCTAATCGTTTTGTTTTAAGCCTTTTCTAGACATACCTTCCTCCTCCAAAGTTATTAACTTAATGATTCATGAAAATATTCCACTTTTCTGGATCTTTCTTCCCCTGTGACCTCTTCTGAAATAACTTTAAAGTGTTCTAAGCCAGAATACACATTGTTTACCCAATAATAAAACTGAAATATTACTTTGAGATTAAAAAAATGGAAATCAACGTAAATTAGGAATACAGGATTTTAGTTAAGAAATCCATACTAGGTTTTTAATGGGCTACGTATCACACCAAGATACATTCATATACAAGTAGTTCAATCCAATCAGCAGCACAGTTTGAGCTAAGAATGAGGAGAATTTATGCAAGTTTATTCTGAAAATGGCAAAATGTAGCAGTAAAAAGGGTTTATATTTTTGCTGGGTTAGTAATACACATGTACTTGTTTTCTACTGTTCTCATCTATTTTTCTATCCCAAAATTTACACGAATAAATCAGAAATATCTTTGAATTACCATAATTCATTTGTAAATCTTATTTCTTCCAATAAGTTATAACTCTTTGGGAGCAGACACAAATTACCATGTAGTCCTATATTTTTAGGAGATCAATCAATATTTATGAAGTGAAAAATGACTTAGTTGCACAAATTTCTAAAGTATCACAGAAGATGGGTCACTGCCCATCATTATTTCTGCTTCTCCTTCCATAATATAAATCTATATCCAAGAAATAGCTGCTTCTACCAACTACATTTTTTGGCTCCTTTGCATAACCATGGGACCTTGTGCCTAGGGAATATGAGTAGAAGTGATGTGTATAATTTCTAGGCTAAGGGGTAGAAAAAGCAGTTGTGACTTCTCTTGTCTGTTTTCCACACTCAGTAGCTGAATGTAGGGGACTCTGGAACCCTAAAATAGAGTGAGGCCAAAAGAAGGAAGGAACCCGATGATATAATTTTGATGTTTGTCTCCTCAGAATCTCATGTGGAAATGTAATTCCGTGTTGGAGGCGGGGCCTGGTGGTAGGTGTTTGGATTACAAGGGATCATGAATAGTTTAGCGCAGTTGCCTTGGTGATAGGTCAGTTCATGCTAGATCTGGTTGTTTCAAAGAGCATGGCACCTCCCACCTTGCTTCCTCTCTTGCCACGTGACACATCTGTTTCTCCTTCCCCTTCTGCCATGACTGGAAACTACTTGAGGACATCAGCAGAAACAGATGTTTGTACCACACTTCCTGTACAGTCTGCAGAGCCCATTAAATCTCTTTTCATTATAAATTACCCAGTGTTGGGTATCCTGTTATAGCCACTCAAAAACAGATTCCACACCTGGTCTCCAATTATTACAAAGCTCCCTGCCAACCAAGATTACCTGGACTGTTCTGCTCCTGAGAATCAACCTTCCACTGGGCAAACCATTGTCAATCAAGGACTTATGTGTTACAGCAGCTTGAGTTTCACCGACACATACAGCTCAGTCCTTACCTGTATTAGCTTTTTCATAGCATTAATAGTGTTGATCACTTGCCCCCTTCTGACATTCTGTTTTGCCTTTTGGTTTCTTTACTAGAACTACATAGGTAACCCCCACCAACATTACCACATCCCCCTATCCACCTGATTTCCTATTAATCTTTCTGGCTTTTCATTTTCATCCTCCTCTGCCTGTTCATATCCTCCAAAAACTCTGTCCTGGGCTCTTTTCTTTTCCTGGACAACGTCAATGACTTCAAATCTAATGGAAAAAGCATCACTAACCAACTAGGACATCCACCTGGAAAAAGGTTACATTTATCAGGTTGGTGCAAAAGTAATTGCAGTTTAGCCATTAAAAGTAATGTCAAAGCCACACTTATTTTGCACCAACCTAACATGACTTAGGTTAAACTAAATATTAACAAAACATGTGAAAATATTATACCTTCATCATCTGATTTATATTTTACTCTTCTCTTTTATAGTCCTCTTATAAGGAGTCAGTAATACAGAGTTTTCAGCTTACATAGTTATTATTTCTTCTTTTTACAAATGTAACCCTCTTGGTGCCCTCATAATATTTAGACAGATTTTACTTTACCCTTTGCATAATTTGTGGGAACTAGAAGTATTTCTTCCTTCAACAAACATTTTTTTGGACTTATGGCTCAACACTGCTCATAGTGTTGGAGATACAGGATTGGAGAGATCACACTCTGCTTTCACGGACCTATTTCAATTAGAGGAAACCAGATGATAAACAAATAAAATAATTACAGACACAAAGGCTGTGAAACCTTAAATTGTAATAATGGAAAAACATGGAATGAAATGTAATTGTGGGGCAAGGGTGTTGTTATTTAGTTTGAGTATCAATAAAGCACTCTCTGTGGAGACAATTTGAGATGCGATCTGGATAATAAGAAGGAGCCAGCCATATAAAGATTGGAGGGAGTAGTATTCTAGGAAGAGGGAAACATCAAGTATAAAAGAGACAGCAATCTTTGTAAAAATAGAAGGCGGCCAGTGTGGCTATCATACACAGTATAAGACGAGGCCAGGGAAGTAGAAAGGGAACAGGCTATGGGAAGGAATGTGGATTTTAGAGGTTTTAAATACACAGGGCAACATTTAGAGTAAAGACAACTGGGAGAACAGAAGAGTTAAGGAGATCTTCAAATTGTTACCACTAACAAAATCAATACTGGGGGAAAGTCACTTGATTCTCAGGTGTTTGGACTCACTTTGCTAAACATGGGACTCAGAATTAATAGGCATTAATGTTTTGTCCAAATGTAGAAAATCAATAAGATCTTCAGAACTTCCACAGGAGGTATAGCTAAACCATAAATTAACCTTACTCAAAATCTCAAACTTTTAAAAGTGCTCTGTGTTTAACTGTAACAAAATTTTATTCACACTCTTGCTTTAATACTACAGTAGAACTTACTTTTCTCATTCATTTTCCCCAATGCACTGAGAGCTACTTGAAAGGCTGGACACTTTCTTATTTATTTTGGGATCTTCAGAGATTAACATGTAATACTCATTTCTATTAATAAATATATATTTAGTAAAGTAGCAAGAGGAGAGTTAAATATATATATTATATATATATGATCTTATTATCTAAATTTGGACAAAATATTAATGCCTATTAATTCTGTGTCCCATGTTTAGCAAAATGAGTTCAAATACCTGATGAATATATACATTTAACTAGAGAGAGGGAGAGAGAGAACACAATGAGGACTGAAAAATCTCCCCTTCTTAAATAGTCTTTTGACAAATATGTTCCCAAGGCTAGACTCACAGTGCCTTAGATATTACTTAGAGGAAACTTTACAGACCATGTAGTTTAGCATTATTCCAACTCCTGGAAATGTCATTTTTCTGAACAGGACAGGCTTTTCTGGTGTCATTTGAAAGAGTCCTTTGGCTGGTGATACTCAGCTGGTGCCCTCCATGTGCAGCCTGGCACAGCGCTGGGTTGAAGACCGGGTCAAGTGGCCATGATCTTTGGTTAAACACTGAACCACCTTATCACTTGCAGTGAGATGCTGAAATGGCAAACCTCTTACAAAACAGATCTGTTTTGATTTTGCAAAGGTAGTTGAATTTTTAAATAGTCAAATTATCTCAAATTTTTAAAGAATAGCTTCAATGTCTTAGCTGAAAGGGTAAACTATAAATTAATAGTTTGCTGAACTATAAAGGGCTCCTATCCACAGCTAATAGCCTGGTCTAGGGTATCATTCTACAGGAAGAAACAAGGGAATGTGCTTTTTGCTTCACTGCCTGAAGTCATTTAAGACCTTTTCTATATTTACTCCTATCTTATCTTTTAAAAAATTCCATTTCTTTACACAGTCTTCAATCCCTTTTTATTTTTAAGCCAAATGTGTGTGGTACCACACAAATATTATAGTGGAGTTTTATTTACTTATCTCTCTTCCATATCAACCCATGTAATTTGACAGGATTACTCATTTGAGCTTTTGAAGATCTAAAACTCAGACAGCGCAAAGGCATTTCACTTGGAAGTTCACTGACAATTGCAGTTTTCAGTTGCTCACCAAAATAAATACATACATAAATTTAAAAATTATAAAATATAGTATCTAAGAGAATGTTCCACATCAAATGCCAGTTTTTCAATGCATATTATTTAAGAGTTTATTAAAACATTTGATAAAGTGAAATAGTTAATTTACCCTGTCATGATTATGTGTTCAACAATTTTAGCTCTGGTCTCAACACTGTCTGTTATTATCTTTCACCTTCAGAGTGTTAGGGTTCACATGTGGCAAAAAGGGCTAATAGGCCATCAAGGACAGGAGACTCCTCCTGAGAGTCTTCCAAAACCACTCCATGAACGATCACTCAATAATTATATCGTTTCATTCTCTACTGGAATAACTGTTTGTATTCTCTTACATTTCTATTCCTTTCCTTCTCTATTCATTCTTACAGGAAGTCCATCTATGCACATATGGTATCTTTATGTCTCCTTCATTCTGATTCTGATTCTGTGTGTATATGTGTGTGTGTCTCTATGTTGTGAACACCAAGACAGAAGAATGATTGAAGTATTATTCTTCACTCATTTCTCTCTGCAAGTTTTACATTGAGTCATAAACAATAGTAGCCTCCTCCCTTTTTCATTATTATTTTATGTTTTTTATATATGTATTTTCATTTATGTTCTGGCTCTAACTCCTGTGGCCTTTGTTATAACGTTGGGGTTCTTTAGACCTCAGGAGCAAACCTCAGAAAACAGACTCTCTCTGCCTTTCTCCTCCCTTCCTTTTATCCACTCATTTTTCTCCCCAGGGCAGGAATCTTCCTCCGCCTTTCTGTCCTGGAGGGGGCTACAAAGAAATTCTCTGATCTGCTTGTCTGATTGTTGTTCATAGGCCCCCATTCCAGGAGTCCTGCCCCATTCCTGGGAGAGAAGAATACTGCACAGCGAGGCCAAGAAGAATCGACAGAGCAGACAGAACAGACAGGCTTTGCCGGGTTTCGCTACCCAGTCTATGAGGACTATACCTTACCCTTCTTGTGTAATGACATTTCTCCATGCTTCAATCATGCCTGTCCAATGCAATCTCCATAAAAGGTCCAAGAGGACAGGGTTCGAAGAGCTTCTGGACAGCTGAACACATGGAGGTTCCTAGAGGGTGATGTCCCCAAAGAGGGCATGGAAGCTTCAGGCCCCTTCCTGCATACCTCACCCTAGACATCTCTTCATCTGTATCCTTTGTCATATCTTTCATAATAAACTGGAAAATGTAAATAAGTCTTTCCCTGAGTTCTGTAAGCCACTCTAGCAAATTAATCAAACCCAAGGAGGAGGTGGTGGGATCCCTGACTTACAGCTGGTCAGTCAGAAGCACAGGTAAAAGAGCCTGGGGCTTGCAACTGGCATGGGAAGTGGAGGGCAGGCCTGTGGGATGGAGCCCTCACCCTGTGGGATCTGAGGCTCTCTCCAGATAGACAGGGTCAGAATGCAACTGGGCTGGAGGACAGTCAGCTTGTGTCCACTGCAGAACTGGTTGCTTACTTGGTACATGGAGAGAAAGTCCCACACACAGACGCCTTCTGTGCCCACTGTTGTAGTGCGAGAGAAGCAGGAAAACAGTTTGTGTTTTTACCTCACACCTGGCCTCTGTGATATTTTTAGGTTAACTCACCACTTGAATTAACAAATCTCCAACAAACTTGACACCATATTTCAAATTGTATTTTAAGGGCTCCTGTTTTCAGATTTTATTTTCCTGGTTGTGTCCACAATGATGCCTCAATAATTACATACCGGTTTCTTCGCTCATCATCATTAGACTTTAAGTGGTTGACTCTATGCCATGAAAGGTAAGAAATTTAGCTCCCTTACAGGATCATCTGTCTCCCCATCCTTCCCTGGGATTTGCTGATAAAAATAGCGTTTTCATGCCTCTGCTAGTTACCATATGTCTTTAAACACTATTTTGGGACTTCAAGTTCTTAATTCACATGCTCTCTAAAATATCTGAAATGTCTACCTAGGAAGGTGTATGTCCCCTAATGTGTGCTCTGGCACCTCAAAATAAAGCCTTCCTAATTTTGAGAATGGGAGATGGAGGAGCACATCTGTGATTTCATCTTGAAATTTATCACCGCTGTTATTGTCTGTGTGTCTAGGGTGGGAGGGGTAAAACATCTTAGTTTCCCTTAGATCTTTCAGTTAAGGACCCTGATTACAATCCCGAACTGACTATACTTCACGCCTGCACTCTCAGAATGCACAGCAGTGATGTGGATTACGCGCCTGTGAAACATGAGCCACTATTTTTTTTGTTTATTATTATTTTTTCTTAGACAGAGTCTCACTCTGTTGCCTAGGCTGGAGTGCAGTGGCATGATCTTGGCTCACTTTAACCTCTGTCTGCCAGGTTCAAGCGATTCTCCTGCCTCAGCCTCCTGAGTATCTGGGACTACAGGTGCCTGCCACCATGCCCAGCTTATTTTTGTATTTTTAGTAGAGACGGGGTTTTGCCATGTTGGCCAGGGTGGTCTCGAACTCCTGACTTCAGGTGATCCATCCACCTCGGCCTCCCAAACTGCTGGGATTACAGGCATGAGCCAACGCGCCCAGCCGTGAGCTACTGTCTTATTCACTCTGGATTCTCTCTCCTTGTGCTCCCTTCAGAGTCCATTTTTCAGATATCACCCAAAATATGTACTTCTGTTCTATCCTAAACCAGAGACTTCAAACAACTATTTGCGAAAATATTAAATTAATAGAAGTTAATATACGTATACCTGGTGAATATACTGTCTATTCTTGTTTTGCTTTGTTTTGTTTTTTTAGATAGAGTCTCTCTCTGTCACCCAGACAATCTCTGCTCACTGCAACCTCTGCCTCCTGGGTTAAAGTGATTCTCATCCAGGTAGCTGGGATTACGGGTATCTGCTACCATACCTGGCTAATTTTTGTATTTTTAGTAGAGATGGGATTTCACCATGTTGGCCAGGCTGGTCTCAAACCACTGAGTTCAAGTTATCCACCCTCCTCAGCCTCCCAAAATGCTGGGATTACAGGTGTGAGCCACTGTGCCCAGTCCTATTCTTGCTTCTAAAGAGTAAGTCATTCTTTTATTTTGCAATTTAAATGTACCAACATCAATATGCTTTTACTAAATGTGAAGACTCTATTTAAATAAGATTACTAATTTCCAATTTGGAGAGATAACTTTGCCTACAAGTCGTCACATACCTAAGAGTTTCAGAATAATTTTGACTTTACATAACAGAAAATCTAACTCTAAATTTGACATCTATAGTTAAAGGTAAATAAGTAACTGACTTTATTTTTTATTTTTTTATTTTTTATTTTTTTTTAAGACGGAGTTTTGCTCTTGTCGCCCAGGCTGGAGTGCAATGGCATGATCTCGGCTCACTGCAACCTCCTCTTCCCAGGTTCAAGTGATTCTCCTGCCTCAGCCTCCTGAGTAGCTGAGATTAAAGGTGCCCTCCACCACACCTGGCTAATTTTTAGTAGAGATGGGGTTTCACCATGTTGGCCAGGCTGGTCTTGAACTCCTGACCTCAGGTAATCCACCCACCTCAGCCTCCCTGCCCAGCCCAAGTAACTGATTTTTAGTGATAGTGTGTGATGTTCTCATCCCCTGTCCTCTATATGTCTTCATCTTCAGGCTAGCACCTTTCAGGGCAACAACATAACTATGATTATTCTGGGTATCAGTCCACACACCCCAGCATCCGGTAAAAGTGAGAATCTATCTCCCTCATCCTAAAGCAAAACTGCTGGACTTCACTTTGTTTTGACCTTATGAAGCTCTTGTACACCCTTGAATCAAGCGGCATCATAGGAGGAATGTAATTCATGGTAGGACTGGGGCCTGAGCTCAATTCATATTCATGAAGTCATCATTGTGGCAAAGGGAAGAGATTATGATTATTTCTTTTAGAAAAGGGGGATCACCTTGGAAATCCAGTTGGAACTAATCACACAGAAACTTCATGAATGATGCCAATTGGGAAGAATATGAGAGGGATACCAGGAAATTTACTAACCATGTTTATGATGACAGGCTGCCATTCATATTAACTATAATTTTTATTAAGCTATGAGTGTTCACATATCATGCCTTTTTAGTTAGAAATTAGAGTTTCCATAAAGCATCTCACAGTGGATCTTTGGAATATGTCTCATGATGGTATTGATTTAATCAGGAATAACCTTAACATAGGTTTATTATCCTAATGGTTTTTAATTATCCTTAAAAGTCAATATTTCTCTAATGACTTTACACTGCATTTACTATCTTTTGACTAAATAAAATTGCAAAGGAGGTTATCGTACATCTTACAATAATACTGGCTAATAGTACTTTCAGTGTGAATGGATCTGTTCCATCTACATCTGCACTGTCCATTAGTTGCCACAAACCATGTGTATCTATTGAGTGCTTGAAATATAACCAGTGTGGGCCAGGCGCGGTGGCTCACGCCTGTAATCTCAGCACTTTGGGAGGCTGAGGCGGGTGGATCACCTGAGGTCAGGAGTTGGAGACCAGCCTGGTCAACATGGTGAAACCCTGTCTCTACTAAAATTACAAAATTAGCTGGGCATGTCAGCACGTGCCTATAATTCCAGCTACTAAGGAGGCGGAGGCAGGAGAATCACTTGAACCTGGGAGGCAGATGTTGCAGTGAGCTGGGATCGTGCCATTGCACTCCAGCCTGAGAAACAAGAGCAAAACTTCCTTTAAAAAAGAGAGAGAGAGAAACGAAACATAACCAGTGTGACTGAGAAACTGAATTTTTACTTTAATGTGAATTTCTAATTTAAATAGCCACATGTGACCAGTTGCTATGGTATTAGACAGCACAGAATCAAACACTGTGTGTTTAATTCATTAGTGCCTCTGACTGAGGTGTGTTAGTTACAATAACCTCAAAACTGATGAGCCAGGAAAATCAACCAAATCAGTTTTTCTCTCATATTCCAATCCAACATGACTATTTTCAAATACATTAATAAAAGGTTTTCAAGCATTAAATGGCTTTCAAGGAAGCCTTTTGAATGCTGCAGAACATTTACCTCCAAACTTCTCTTTATAACTAAGCTACAAGATTCAAGGCAGCTAAACAATTGAAAGAGCTCTGTGGAATAAATCACCCACAAAGGCAGACGCAGTGTTAATCTCCAAAATTTTCATTTTATATATGAAAAAATTTGTTACATCATTATTGTTTATTTTAAATTATATTACCTGCTTTATATGGTCATTGATGCAGTTTAGGTTCATACACAGATAGTAAATAATTCTTTTGTGCTATGTATTCCATTCTGTACATATAACATACTTGAAAATTGTATTCATTAAAATAAAACACAAATGTTAAATTTTGAAATTTAAAAATTTGTGCATTTTGTAAATATTTCAGAGAAATAAGCTTTCCTCTGTATTGATTTTAATTTCAAGAATACAATTTTATTTTAAATGAAATACTAGGCTACCTGTATATGTACATAGTATATAGTATCATTACTAGAATATACATTAATAAAGGTTAGTAAAATTATTAAAGATTGATAAAATCATATTTGTTGACTTGATACTTGTGTTTAAATATGCTGTGTGCTAATTCATTTAGTATCTAATCATCTTCAAGGATGATTTTCCCCCTCAACATTACAATGACCATTAATTGTAGCTGGTTATCTTGTCAGTCATCAAGAGGCCATTTTAACAAGTGTACATGTCAAGGCTTTACCCAAGCCACTAAGAAAATTCAAGTACAGATGGAAGTAAAATAGCATATATGGGAAAATGCACGAAGATGAACATGTATTAGTCTAGCTATAGCATCGAAGTAGATGCGTGATATAAATTTCTTAGGATTAAAACAGAGCGTTAGATAAGCAATAAATATACTCTTTATTATGGTCTGAATGCAAAATTCATATATTGTAGTTCAAAACTCCATGATGGGTATTAGCAGGTGGGGGTATTAGCAGGTGGGGTCTTATGGGAAGTGATTAAGTCACAAGGGCAGGCAGAGTTCTCATGAATGGAATGAGTGCCTTTTTATAGTAGGCCAGAGAGTGACCCCTCTCCACTTCTCCCATATGAGGATGCAACAGGGAGTTGGCAATCTGCACAGAAAAGGACCCTCACCAGAGGACCCTCCCTAGAAAAGCCTCTTCAGCAGAACCTGACTACGCTGGCAACCTGAGTTTGGACTTCCCAGCTTCCAGAACTGTGAGACATTCATTTTTGTTATTGTTGATAAGCTATCCACCTCTAAGGAATTTTGCTATACGAGCCCAAATAGACTTAGATAACCCTTCTATTTCCTCTGCATTTTTCTCAGATATAGACACCTATTATTCATATCGCTAGTGTTTGAGAACAAATATAGTGCCTTTTTATTTTTTCCTCAAAAGAAAGCCTTTCCAATTTTTAGTACACAATAGATGTTTAATAAATGCTTTAGGATAAATTAAGCTTCTGTCAGAGGTCAACATTTATTAAGAGTTCTCTCTTTGTACAATAATATTTTAGGGAAAAAAGACTTTCTTTAGTATTAACTTTTTTTTTAATTATACTTTAAGTTTTAGGGTACATGTGACCAATGTGCAGGTTAGTTACATATGTATACATGTGCCATGCTGGTGTGCTGCACCCATTAACTTGTCATTTAGCATTAGGTATATCTCCTAAAGCTATCCCTCCCCCTCCAACCCCACAACAGTCTGCAGAGTGTGATGTTCCCCTTCCTGTGTCCATGTGTTCTCATTGTTCAATTCCTGCCTATGAGTGAGAATATGCAGTGTTTGGTTTTTTGTTATTGCTATAGTTTACCGAGAATGATGATTTCCAATTTCATCCATGTCCCTACAAAGGACATGAACGCATCATTTTTTATGGCTGCATAGTATTCCATGGTGTATATGTGCCACATTTTCTTAATCCAGTCTATCATTGTTGGACATTTGGGTTGGTTCCAAGTCTTTGATTTTGTGAATAGTGCCGCAATAAACATACGTGTGCATGTGTTTTTATAGCAGCATGATTTACAGTCCTTTGGGTATATACCCAGTAATAGGATGGCTGGGTCAAATGGTATTTCTAGTTCTAGATCCCTGAGGAATCGCCACACTGACTTCCACAATGGTTGAACTAGTTTACAGTCCCACCAACAGTGTAAAAGTGTTCCTATTTCTCCACATCCTCTCCAGCACCTGTTGTTTCCTGACTTTTTATTGATTGCCATTCTAACTGGTGTGGGATGGTATCTCACTGTGGTTTTGATTTGCATTTCTCTAATGGACAGTGATGGTGAGCATTTTTTCATGTATTTTTTGGCTGCATAAATGTCTTCTTTTGAGAAGTGTCTGTTCATGTCCTTTGCCCACTTTTTGATGGGGTTGTTTGTTTTTTTCTTGTAAATTTGTTTGAGTTCATTGTAGATTCTGGATAGTAGCCCTTTGTCAGATGAGTAGGTTGTGAAAATTTTCTCCGATTTTGTAGGTTGCCTGTTCACTCTGATGGTAGTTTCTTTTGCTGTGCAGAAGCTCTTTGGTTTAATTAGATCCCATTTGTCAATTTTGTCTTTTGTTGCCATTGCTTTTGGTGTTTTGGACATGAAGTCCTTGCCCATGCCTATGTCCTGAATGGTAATGTCTAGGTTTTCTTCTAGGGTTTTTATGGTTTTAGGTCTATTGTTTAAGTCTTTAATCCATCTTGAATTAATTTTTGTATAAGGTGTAAGGAAGGGATCCAGTTTCAGCTTTCTACATATGGCTAGCCAGTTTTCCCAGCACCATTTATTAAATAGGGAATCCTTTCCCCATTGTTTGTTTTTGTGAAGTTTGTCAAAGATCAGATAGTTGTAGATATGCGGCATTATTTCTGAGGGCTCTGTTCTGTTCCATTGATCTATATCTCTGTTTTGGTACCAGTACCATGCTGTTTTGATTACTGTAGCCTTGTAGTATAGTTTGAAGTCAGGTAGCGTGATACCTCCAGCTGTGTTCTTTTGGCTTAGGATTGACTTGGCGATGCAGGCTCTTTTTTGGTGCCATATGAACTTTAAAGTAAACACACATAGGCTCAAAATAAAAGGATGGAGGAAGATCTACCAAGCAAATGGAAACCAAAAAAAAGGCAGGGGTTGCAATCCTAGTCTCTGATAAAACAGACTTTAAACCAACAAAAATCAAAAGAGACAAAGAAGGCCATTACATAATGGTAAAGGGATTAATTCAACAAGAAGAGCTAACTATCCTAAATATATATGCACCCAATACAAGAGCACCCAGATTCATAAAGCAAGTCCTGAGTGATCTACAAAGAGACTTAGACTCCCACACAATAATAATGGGAGACTTTAACACCCCACTGTCAACATTAGACAGATCAACAAGACAGAAAGTTAACAAGGATACCCAGGAATTGAACTCAGCTCTGCACCAAGCGGACCTAATAGACATCTACAGACCTCTCCACCCCAAATCAACAGAATATACATTTTTTTCAGCACCACACCACACCTATTCCAAAATTGACCACATAGTTGGAAGTAAAGTTCTCCTCAGCAAATGTAAAAGATCAGACATTATAACAAACTGTCTCTCAGACCACAGTGCAATCAAACTAGAACTCAGGATTAAGAAACTCACTCAAAACCGCTCAACTACATGGAAACTGAACAACCTGCTCCTGAATGACTACTGGGTACATAACGAAATGAAGGCAGAAATAAAGATGTTCTTTGAAACCAACGAGAACAAAGACAGAACATACCAGAATCTCTGGGACGCATTCAAAGCAGTGTGTAGAGGGAAATTTATAGCACTAAATGCCCACAAGAGAAAGCAGGAAAGATCCAAAATTGACACCCTAACATCACAATTAAAAGAACTAGAAAAGCAAGAGCAAACACATTCAAAAGCTAGCAGAAGGCAAGAAATAACTAAAATCAGAGCAGAACTGAAGGAAATAGAGACACAAAAAACCCTTCAAAAAATTAATGAATCCAGGAACTGGTTTTTTGAAAGGATCAACAAAATTGATAGACTGCTAGCAAGACTAATAAAGAAGAAAAGAGAGAAGAATTAAATAGACACAATAAAAAATGATAAAGGGGATATCACCACCGATCCCACAGAAATACAAACTACCATCAGAGAATACTACAAACACCTCTATGCAAATAAACTAGAAAATCTAGAAGAAATGGATAAATTCCTCGACACATACACCCTCCCAAGACTAATCCAGGAAGAAGTTGAATCTCCGAATAGACCAATAACAGGCTCTGAAATTGTGGCAATAATCAATAGCTTACCAACCAAAAAGAGTCCAGGACCAGATGGATTCACAGCCGAATTCTACCAGAGGTACAAGGAGGAACTGGTACCATTCCTTCTGAAACTATTCCAATCAATAGAAAAAGAGGGAATCCTCCCTAACTCATTTTATGAGGCCAGCATTATCCTGATACCAAAGCCAGGCAGAGACACAACAAAAAAAGAGAATTTTAGACCAATATCCTTGATGAACATTGATGCAAAAATCCGCAATAAAATACTGGCAAACCGAATCCAGCAGCACATCAAAAAGCTTATCCACCATGATCAAGTGGGCTTCATCCCTGGGATGCAAGGCTGGTTCAATATATGCAAATCAATAAATGTAATCCAGCATATAAACAGAACCAAAGACAAAAAACACATGATTATCTCAATAGATGCAGAAAAGGCCTTTGACAAAATTCAACACCGCTTCATGCTAAAAACTCTCAATAAATTAGGTATTGATGGGACGTATTTCAAAATAATAAGAGCTATCTATGACAAACCCACAGCCAATATCATACTGAATGCGCAAAAACTGGAAGCACTCCCTTTGAAAACTGGCACAAGACAGGGATGCCCTCTCTCACCACTCCTATTCAACATAGTGTTGGAAGTTCTGGCCAGGGCAATTAGGCAGGAGAAGGAAATAAAGGGTATTCAATTAGGAAAAGAGGAAGTTAAATTGTCCCTGTTTGCAGATGACATGATAGTATATCTAGAAAACCCCATTGTCTCAGCCTAAAATCTCCTTAAGCTGATAAGCAACTTCAGCAAAGTCTCAGGATACAAAATCAATGTACAAAAATCACAAGCTTTCTTATACACCAATAGCAGACAAACAGAGAGCCAAATCATGTGTGAACTCCCATTCACAATTGCTTCAAAGAGAATAAAATACCTAGGAATCCAACTTACAAGGGATGTGAAGGACCTCTTCAAGGAGAACTACAAACCACTTCTCAATGAAATAAAACAGGATACAAAGAAATGGAAGAACATTCCATGCTCATGGGTAGGAAGAATCAATATCGTGAAAATGGCCGTACTGCCCAAGGTAATTTATAGATTCAATGCCATCCCCATCAAGCTACCAATGACTTTCTTCACAGGATTAGTATTAACTTTTATTTCAAGAATATAGTTTTGTTTGAAAGGAAATATATAGGTTACATGCATATGAACATAATATGTAATAATGTTACTAAAGTCTACATCAATAAAAATTATTAAAGAACAAATGAAATCATATTTTCCACCTGACATCTTTAAGTTATTCAACAATTTGTTACACATAGGCCTATCATGAAGATTAAATGAGGTCCAATGTAAAAACGTTTAGTAAGGTATCTGACACACAAAACCAGATCACTAAACATTGATCTTCTGTGATCAATAGATTTTTCCCCTTCCTTTCACCCAAGCAGCATCAACTACTGTGCACCGTTTCATGTACATTCTACCAAGTGCTTCACTTCCTTTTGGCTGCCTGTGTCCCACCTCCAAGAAATTACAATTTGGGGCTACCATGCGTTGTGTGATCATGGTTTTGCTTTTTAAAAATTATCTATTAAATACCTCTTTTACACTATTTAGTATACAATAGATTTAGGCTGAACTAGATATTGAATCCAGATATTGCTGAGGCAGGAGTACAGAAAAGGTTTTTCTGCTATGATATATGGTCTGGTTGATCTGAAGCTCAAACCCTGCTAATGAATAATCAAGCATCATCTTTTCCTGAGTACATTTGCATTGTGAATTGGATGCTTGTGTTCGTCATTCCCCATCCTCCATATATACTTGCTCATACTGTGTAACACAGGAACCTAAGAATCATTTGTCTGTAGGAGAAATGGCTGGGGATGAAACCCTCAATAGTAGCTCAAAGATATAAATATTCATCTGGTGGATTGAGCAGCCCTAAATGGAGGCCAGATTGCAGATATTAAAAGAGTAAACTGGTGAATCACCTTCCACACTAAGGCCTACGTCAAAGGCGGCAGCTGGTTCTGGGCACAGCCTGAGCTCTTGGGCACAGTGAATGCTCCCTGGCAGGAGAATTCCATTTTATACATGAATTTTCATGTAAGAGTGTGTGTCTAAGTGGGAAATATTGTACAGGCATGGGTGATAACCCTTTGGGCTCAGAGAGTTTGTGCCTTTCATAAAGCATACACAGATGAGTAGACAATTTTCCCAATCATGCTACCAGAATACTTCTTCCTGTTCATCTCTGTGCATGTTACACTAAGACCAGAAGGAGTAAGAGTGAGACTGATAAGGCTTAAAGTAGAAGTTGCGTACAGAGACAATGACAATCCCAAATAATTTACGTTTCCATTATTAGACCCAACTAGAGAGGCTCAAGGAGCACCACTGTGGAGCTCTATGGGGAGCAGAAATTGTGGTGTCCAGCCACAAAGGTGACATCCACTTCCACTTCACTAAGAGAAGCAGAACATGAGAGAGTCAGAACTGATGCCAAGGGTTACCTCTGAACAACCATAATGATATTTTAGAGGAGATACCTGGAAGATTGAAGTTCTTGCTAGTCTAGCGTAAGGTTTCTCAAAACCATGGTCATGTGTATATTCCTGCAAATGACACCTGTTGTACTCAAAAGTGTGCGACCCCTCACATACCTGTTTCCATGATGTGTCTAATTCTTAGTCATTATCCCTCTGAATAAAGTTTAGTCAAGCACTACATAACGGTTTTCTATAGCCTGGATATTTCAGCAGATTCACCTCTCTATAAATCATCATTTTAATTATCTTATTCTATAATTTAAAACTTTTAAGGGTCCTCTTCTATTTCCCACCTAAACTTCAAACATCTTTGCATTCAAAACCATCCAACTTCTGCTTGTACCCAAAATTTTCAACCTTTACTCCTATTTAGTACAACAAAATACCCATGTTTAGTTAGGCTAGAGTGTACGCCATTCAAGAAAAATGCAATTTAATACACCTTGCCTGAATGACCTGCAAGAATGTATTGTGCAAAATCCTGAGGGATTTGAAGTAAGAAAAACCCAATGTGAGTTCTGACTCTGCTAATTTGTCCAACACTGGTTCCTAGCATCCTCCTCTATAAGACAGTGATATGAATAGTTACTCTGCATTTAGAGAAGAACAAAGCAGCCCAAAGACTGTGAGATGGGTGGAAAGAACATGGCTCTCCCAGGGTTCCATTATGCTCTCTTCTCTACAGGGCAGTCTCCATCCATCAGGGTACTGCTTGACAGCTTTGAGTGCCTGCAATTCTTCCTTAGTTTTAAATGATTGCACCCCCTCTCCTCTGTACACATGGACCCCACCTTCCTGCCGTTCTTACATGACTCTTATCATGCACCTTCTTCTCTTGTACATTTCAAGTTTTACTTATTATTTAAGTATTTATGCATAAGCTTCTTTGATTTATATCATATGATAAGCTCCAGGAGGGGAGTAGCACTGTTTTTTGTTTTGTTTTGTTTTGTTTTTTTTATAAATTCATTTCCTAAACGATTCTCAACACAATGTTCTACATTAGGGGTTGGTCAACTCTGGCCAGTCACCTGTTTTAGTAAATAACATTTTTTTTTGGAACAGTCAGCCATGACTATCTGCTTAGGTATTGTCCATGGCTGCTTTCATGCCACAAGGGCAGATTTGAATATAGAGACAGAAACTGACATCGTTTGGCTGACCGATAAAGCCTACAATACTTGTATCTGGTCCTTTGCAGAAAGAGTTTGTGAACCCCTGCTGTACATAAAAAGGAGATTCAGGAAACATTTGTTCAAAAATTTAACATTTGCCCCAAACTATTTCTACACTCATGGAAAACCATTTCTACATAAATTGTTCCTCTGAGTCCAGTTCCAGGTTTAAGATATCTTAACACTGAAAGGAGGTAATATATTTTATCTTAATATCACCTTGTCAGTTTTAGTGCTGGAAGATATCCAACACTGCAGCTAACAAATTGATCTGTACTTGGTGTTAAGGAGCTGAACACAGTGAATACCTTTGTTTTAGGACTTTACTGTCTTCTATTAAGACATCTGGGAATTTAAATTTAAACAAATCAGTTTTAAAGACAACCCCAAAGAATACTTAGTTACAGGCTATTCTTTTACAGAAACATAAACTTCATTAGTAAGTGACAATGATTAGAAATTTTGCATGTTTTTGTAACACTTTGCAGCAAATTCTATTGTTTTCCAAATGTTCACTAAGGTTTGGATCTTAATTAAGATCACAGTATTCAAAATAACACCATGATGAAGTGATTTTAATTCAGAAACAGTGGACTAAGGCTATGAAGAAAGTTTCCAATTCTGATTTGGATCACAAATAGGACTTTAATAGATCAAGAGGAAACTCATGGATTTTCTCATTTTTTGCCTCCACTGCTGGTGATCAGTAAATTGAGATGGCTTGTTGTTCAGAACCCTCTTCCTCAGAGTTTTCTAATCTTCCAAAAGGCATCCACTCAACATAAAAAAAAAAATCATCCTGTCTTGCCTAATACAGTGAAATAAATAAACCAGTGTCTTCCAGCCTGGGAAGATGAGCTTTCAGACTGTTTCTTTGCAAATCAGAATCCTACAGTGTTGAGCCATTTAAACTTCATAAGCTACACAATATCCAAGGCAGTTCTACTCAGATAGCAATGCTTTAATTGCTTAGTGATAACAAGGGACAATATGAAACAATTTTTATAAATCTAAATAAATATTAAACACCAAATCGATTTTTCAACACTATGAAATTTTGTTTTTTTTTACTTATTATGCCCTGTTTTAAATCTGGCTGAATATATTTAGGCACTATACATCGTGCTGTCAAAAAAATCTGAATTAATTGTGTTACTATTTAAGACATTGTGTTTTATTCTTGAAATAAGCAGGTTACAAGGGAATATAATATTAATCTATTAAATGAGATATATTAAAAATGAGTAAGGCAAAAACTAAACCATGACACTTGAAGCACAATATGAAAACACATTTTGAGACTCAGGAAGTAAAATAAATAACACATGTTTAGGACATTTTTCTTTCCTCTATCAAAGATTTTTAAGACTGGCTAAATTTCATGGCATTAAGCAAAGATACATGACATTTGAGACAAAAGAATTACTGTTCAAACAAAGACAAGTAAAATTGAAGGTAGGATTCAGAGTAATTTAGGTAATTATCAAATGAAATAAAATTAGAAATAGATATATTTTAGAGAACTTCTAGTCAACTTTTGTCGATCATTTTTATTTCATTTGAATTCTTTATTTAGAAGTCAACTTACATTTCGCGGTAGCCAAACTCTTTATAATGAATTTTCTCATCAGTCCTCCGTGGTGAGGTATCAAGTGCTTCGTAATAGTCCTGGCTCTGTCCCACACGGATCACCTTGCATAGGCACACTAACTGTTTCTCCTGAATGTCATCATCAGATGCAATTTTCATGCTCACTTTTTACATTTTAGGAATAGGCCTGTTTTCCTTCAAAATCTCCAGTAGCTCCTGATCTTGGGAGAGCAGTCTAGGGTGAATGTGAAATGTTGAACTCAATTATCTTTCAGATGTCCTTAATTTAAAATTCTATAATGTTGGCCAGGCGCGATGGCTCATGCTGTAATGCCAGCACTTTGGGAGGCCGAAGCAGGTGGATCACGTGAGGTCAGGGGTTCGAGACCAGCCTGGCCAACATGGCAAAACCCTGTCTCTACTAAAAATACAAAAATTAGCTGGATGTGGTGGCGCCTGCCTGTAATCCCAGCTACTCAGGAGTCTGAGGAAGGAGAATCGCTTGAACCCAGGAGGTGGAGGTTGCAGTGAGTCAAGATCGTGCCACTGCACTCCAGCCTCGGAAACAGAGCGAGACTCTGTCTCAAAAAACAAACAAACAAACAAACAAAAAAACTATGTTAACTAATTTCATTGTAGTTTTTTGTCTCTTAGTTCAATGTCATATTTTACCCAAAGTGGGTTAAAATATGCTGACTCCCTTACTCCCTTACTGATAAACTTAGGAACCTTCAATCCTGCATCATCTCAAGTATTCCTTACTTAGTCAGAAGAAGAATTTTGCACTCAAATATGAACTCAACTCAGGTTGATCAGCAACAGTAAAGATCGGCAGCAGTAAAAATAGACTGTGTTAAAGAAAATGCACAAAACACAGCTCTACAGTTGCTCATTCTTTCATTTGTTCAACAGTTATCTTATTTAGCAAAAATCTACTGTTTTGGAAGCTCTTAATGCACTGGGAATATAAAGAAGAAATAACATACAGTGTCTCTGTTCTCAAGAATCTCACAACAGTAAAGATCAAGTTTATGTTAGAAAACAAATTATACTGAATGAACAACAAGATTATAAAATCTAGGAGAAATATGGTGTTTAGAGTTATCTAAACAGGTCACAAAAGTAACCACTGCGTAACTGGAGTATCATTTTCTATGTTTTAAGCAAGATAATGTGCATTAATTGTCTTTAATTGCCTAAGTCTCTCTATGACCTCAAGCAGCTCATTAGTCACTCCAAGTCTGTAGCACATTCAGAGACCGTAATCCCTGGCACCATGGTGATTTCAGGAGTCAAATTTAGCTCATTCCCCAGAGAATGATTCATTTTTCATTTTCAGATGGTGAGATCATGCTGCAACTTCCTAATAGCTCATGAGCACCTCAAGACTGTGTCTTGTGTCATACATTTCCCTATTTCTGGCACATGTGGCTGTGCTCAGCATTGCAAGCATTCCCTAGCTCAACAATATCAGCCGCCTGTCATTCCACCATGACGATATTATTTTCGTTCCCATTTCTCATTAAATTTTCCAGGGACAGGAGTCACCAATATATGACATAATATAATGGCATGGAATACAGGGGCAGTGACTGAAGACTGAAGACAACTTTCAGGGTAGAGGGTGTAAAAATGAAAGAAAGTTACCCTTAGAGAGAAAATGGAAAAGTTCCAATGACAAATGCCCCAGCTCTCATAGTTCTTCACTTCGAATTACACCTTTATCACTCAAATACAGGTCACAGCAAAATTGTTAATATTTGCCTGTTTGCTTCACATAGGTAGACCCAAGACCCTGACCAGCGTTATTTAGGTCCCTACATGTGGGCTAATGGTTGCATTCTTTATTGGCACCTAGGGGACCTGCCCCGGAAGCAGTCCTCCCTGGGCTGAGTGGTGGCTGTGCCTGCAGGGGTCACTACTAGCTGATAACTGACAAAGGGCTTCACTGGTACTGCCAGCAGGGGAATGAAAATGTAAATGGGTTCACGGGTCACTTTATGTCAAGTGGAAAATGAATAATAGTTTTGTTCCTGTGAGCCAGAGAAAAGCACGCATCATTGATCCCTCAAGGATTAATTTCTCATGATAAATGTAATTGTCTAAAATAATAGTGGGGAAGACCAATCATTCTAAATGCAAAGCCCAGAGAATGAGCGGGTGAGAGCTGCCCACTTAGAAAAGGAGAAAGAATTCAAAAGGAGTAGCAAAGGAGTAGCTAAAGCATGTCCTTTAGCACACAGTGAACTACTGGTCTCTGGAACCTAAGGATTCTCTCACAGCTAGAGGTCACAAGTAAAGGAGACCTACATGGGCAGTATGTTTATAACTGGGCTATTAAATGTATGGGGATTTTCTAAAAGGAAAAAAAAATACCATATTTAAACTTTGGAGAACCTTAGCCTTAGATTGGCTGAAATTACAATATTGAAACATCATAGCAAGTTTTCTTGCATGTAAGGATTTGTCTATTGTTTGCAGTGATATAAAGAACAACTAATATTTTCATTGTAATTCTTACCAATGCATCTCAGATTGTTGATAAATTTTTGAATAAATCCTTATATGCCTTGTATGACAATTGCTGCAGTGTAAAATATATTCACAGAAACTGCAGGAGAAAGAGTAATTTTTCTGAATGCCACATCATATTTCAAATGACCACTATGAACTCCGTAAAAAGAAAAACTGCAGGTCATAGTTTAATCAGCACAGGCACTGCACAGAAAAGTACAGGAAACCCAGAGCCTGCTTAAGACGATTGTCCAATTCCTAACTGGCCTCTCTCTGAGACCCAGCTGTCAAAGACTCATGAAATGCTAAAACTGAGAAAATAGAAACATTCTCAAAATAAGTAATAAGAATGTTTAAAGAAAGTATAGTAACTATTTGCAAAGAGAAAGATGTGCATTTTGGACCTGAATGGGATTATTAAGTGTTGTAATGTAGTTATGTAGCAGGGAGAAAAAGAAACTTATTTTTTTCCCCAGTAGGATGGCATAAGTTAGGAGAACTTTCAGTGCAAGAAAAGGAAAACCTAGGGCAAGATGTGGTAGGAGTAAGGTGTGGCCTGCAAGACTGGCGAGAAGAGAAGGTGAGTGTCAGGTGACACGAAAACATTTGCGAGTGGACAACCTGTGCCCCAGGGTCAAGGGGAAAAGAAATGCTACCTGTGACAGCCAAGTTTTAAAGCCCCTGCTCTCTTCTTACTTATGACAGCCTAGATGCTCCTAGTCTAAAGTTGGAATCCCTAGGTCTCTCCAATAATTACTGACTTTAACCTCAGCTTGACAATCTAAGTCCCATATTCTGTGCATTTGACCTTATCCTTCTTGAAACCTTTGCTTTGGCTCAAGTGTGCTGTTCCTATTTTACAATCAGCCTGGAAATGTGATTGCAGTTCGTATTCTTATTTCTTTCTTTTTTTTTTTTTTTTTTTTGAGACTCGCTGTGATGCCCAGGCTGGAGTGCAGTGGTATGATCTCAGCTCACTGCAACCACTACCTCTCGGGTTCAAGTGAGTCTTCTGCCTCAGCCTCCCAAGTAGCTGGGATTACAGGTGTCTGCCACCATGCCTGGGTAATTTTTGTATTTTTAGTAGAGGCAGGGTTTCACCATTTTGGTCAGGCTGGTCTCGAACTCCTGACCTCAAGTGATCCACACACCTCAGCCTCCCGAAGTGCTGGGATTACAGATGTGAGCCACCATGCCCAGGCTTCTTTCTTTTTTAAAAAAAATAATTTTACGGTGTCATCTTGACTCTAGATTGTGTATCTGAGTTTGAGCAGAATCATACCAATAAGAGAAAGATTTGCATCTTTTCTCGCTACAGGTTATAAAAGTCATGATCCTAGGCCTGGCGCGGTGGCTCACTTTGGGAGGCCGAGGCGGACAGATCACAATGTCGGGAGTTTGAAACCAGCCTGGCCAATATGGTGAAACGCTGTCTGTACTAAAAATACAAAAATTAGCCAGGCGTGGTGGTGGGTGCCTGTAGTCCCAGTTACTCGGCAGGCTGAGGCAGGAGAATCGCTTGAACCTGGAAGGCGGAGGTTGCAGTGAGCCGAGATGGCGCCACTGCACTCCAGCCTGGGCGACAGAGCAAGACTACATCTCAAAATAAATAAATAAATAAAATAAAATAAAATAAAAAAGTCATTATCCTAATTCAAAGAGCTATGGAAATCATGGGGAAAGACACAGAATATGATAGAAACGACAATCTTATTAGTGTTGAGTTAAACTAAGAAAAATGATAAGAAGAGGATTTCTAAATTTAAGCTTAAATTAAGAATCATAATGAAGAGAAACTCTTGTTTCAGTCATGCATTCAATTAATTTTAATTGGATGCCTACTATGTGCCAGGCAACAATATATTGAGGCTATATATGACAGATGAAAATAGCTAAGAAAACTTGGAGCTTAAAAGACATAAAAATGGGCCGGCCGTGGTGGCTCACACCTGTAATCCCAGCACTTTGGGAGGCCGAGGCAGGCGGATCACGAGGTCAGGAGATCGACACCATCCTGGCTAACATGGTGAAACCCCGTCTCCACTAAAAATACAAAAAATTAGCCGGGCGTTGTGGCGGGTGCCTGTAGTCCCAGCTACTCGGGAGGCTGAGGCAGGAGAATGGCATGAACCCTGGAGGCAGAGCTTGCAGTGAGCTGAGATTGTGCCACTGCACTCCAACCTGGGCAACAGAGTGAGACTCCGTCTCAAAAAAAAAAAAAAAAAAAAAAAACCATAAAAATGTGTTGTGAAGAAAAAAAAGCATCAGCGTAGTTTTAAAAAAAATTTTAGATGCGTCATTTTCTTCTGTGTTTGGTACATGATGTGTGAGAACAAAAGTATGTTCTCAAACATGCTATTGCTCACTGCCTTCCTCCATCTGGATAGGTTCTATTTGTATTTCTCAAGGAAGATCAAATATCATTTTCTAAATGTTTTCTTCCCTATGTCACGTAAAGGCAGCTGCACCTTCCTGAGGTGCCATTCGCCTTTGGCACATGTTAGAGACCCAGTAAATGCTAGTTTCTTGTCCCTCCCTAATTCATCTCTAATTGTACCATCCAGTAGAAACCAAATGAATAGACAATTTCAAGAATATGTTAATATAGTGAAATTGTACGCTATATTCTGGCTAGATTCTAATGGTCATGCCTCACTATAAATTCTGTACATCTAAATCATTCTTGATAGTTTCATTGATTTAGAATGATAAAGATTGTTTCATTTATCATGAATGATAAAGAATTATCATTCTTGATAAGTCCATGTGTATAAACTATTACACACTTGGATTTATGTACACCCATATAAATCCATTATTCTTTGTTCATTGTTCTAATTAATTTTTCATTTCTGTGGGTACATAGTAGGTGTGTATTTTTATGGAGTACATGAGATGTTTTGATACAGGCATGCAATCTGAAATAAGCACGACATGGAGAACGGGCTCCAATTCTTTTTCAATGACTGTCAAAGGCTCTCAGTATTTCACTGTCTACCCCAAGACTGCCATTGTTTCTATCACTCTCCTTTTCCCTGGCTACCTAAGCAATGAACTTTACCTTTTCATCTATGGCCTGGAAAACTTTAAAATAATTTGCACAATTACTCTATGCTTTTGTGTATGCTTGCAACATGTTTTTAAAACTTAATTGCATTTACCGTTTAGGATACATTCTCACAGAGTGAAATGGAGACTAAAATGGTCTATGCAACTTACATAGATGTACAGTCATATGCCACATAACGTTGCAGTCAAGGACACACTGCCTATATGATGGTGATTCCATAGATTATAGGGGAACTGAAAAATTTCTATCACCTGGTGAAGTCATAGCTATCCTAACATTTTAGGACAATGCATTACATTTTCTATATTTAGATATGCTTAGATATATTAATACTTCCATTGTGTTACATTTACCCACAGTATTCACTACAGTAACATGCTGAAAATTTTTATAGCCTAGGAAAAATAGGATATACCATATAGTCTAAGTGTGTAGGGGGCTATACCATCTAGGTCTGTTTAAGTACCCTCTGTGATATTTACACTATGACAAAATTGCCTAATGACACATTTCTTGGAACATACCCCGGTTGTTCAGAAACACATGACTGTTCATGATGATGCTCACATGATGAGAAATCTCCTAAGGACGCAGTTCTCAAAAGGTATCCCTGTCACTAAATGACACGTGGCTGTACATATTTTATTTTAATCTTTTTCTCTTAATGGGAATACAGTTAAATCCCCTTAAGTTTAATGTTCCTGTGAGATAATTCCCCCATGCTATTCTTGTTTCGTTACTCTTCCAAATCCATTTATCCAGTGATCCCATTTATATTTACTCAAAACACAATAGTCTATGAAAACATGCATCCAGAATGTCAGCCATTTAGTCGCTTACAAGCAAGGAGACTTGTACTTCTTCAGTTTTCAAGGGGATATTATACACAGAAGCCTAAATCCCAAAAGAAAAGTGCTGGAAATTGTCCTGAGTAGGAAATACATTAAGTATTCATAATACTGTCTGTTTTCTGATCTCACACTCTTTTCACAGAGAGTATATTTAAAATTTTCCCTCTCTTTGCCAGCACAAGCAGGAAAAGGAGATAATTGCAAATTGCAATGTACACTTGGCTGTAAGCCCAGCTGAAACCCAATGTGGAAGACAGCACTTTTCCTTTCTTCTAAGGTAGACCTACAGGACATGCTCAGATTCAAGAGGAAACTTCAAGTGATGTAGTGAATAAATAGGAGTAAACAAGATATTTGCAATAATTAGAGAGATGCAACTTGATGGCTTTTTTGAAAAAGGGCCTTGTAGATACTTACGCAACCATTTGATATTACCACGGTCATGCACTACACAAACTCTAATGAAGGTCAGTGCAGAATATCTCTGAAGGTTTCCTAACTGAATTGTTTACATCTTCATTTTTTAATACCAAGTCTAAACATAAAACAAAAAACAAACAAATGGGAAAGTTAGAAAGCACTTTGGTTCTAAACCAACTTGTATTACAACTTTTCCTCTGCTAGAATCTAATGATCTCCTTCATCTCTTTCATTTTTAAAATCATTTGTGCTAGGATTGAATATAAAAACTGACTTGGAGGGGGAACACTATTAATGAAAAAAAACGTATACATAATAAGAAAGGATAAAAATCCATCAGTCATGGCCAGTGTTCTACAAGATGCGAATTATCAACCTACTGACTAGTGACCGTTTACTGCGGTAAGTAATACATTTAATATTTTGTATTCATGTTAACTGCCAGAGACTCTGTGATGACAAACCTATCAGAATTATCTCTTATATTCGACACTGCACAAATTAAACTGCTAATTAAAAAATCAAACAAAAATGACATATTCTATGCAGTACAATCATTGTAATTTTCATACATCTCTTCCAACTAAAATTAGGGTAGGAGTAATGCATTTTAAAATAATAATTGTAACATGCTCTTAAAAGAATTATTTCTAGGGTTGTCTTAAAATGTATACTTCTGTAATATCTTCGATAAACTTATCATATTTACAATTACCCTATTAATTTGAAACAATAAATGATACCATTTTCTATGTTTACCTTAGTGAGGCACACTGTAGTCACTGTGGTGCAAGGAGCTCAAAATTTATACAAAAGTGGTTTTCTGGTTAGAAAAGATTTTTGTTTCTAGTGTCTTTTTCACTCCTATTAGCAGGGCATTGAGTGACTAACTTTTTAAGAGACACTTGTGTGGCATATAAGCAGGTCTTCGTGCTAGGAAAAGTATAAACAGCTTTTAGAGGAAAAATCTTCCAACTACAGGGATAAACAGTCTTAAATCTTCTTGTATATGAGAAATATTTAGCAAAAGAAGATGAATGTTATCAGCTACTAACAGCAAATGCTTGGCAACAATGCTGAATAATCAAGAGGTGCATCAGGCAGAGGTAGAAGAACACAATGAAGTCGATGATAACAGTGAATATATGATTAAATCTATATTATAAGTTTTGCTCAAGTGGGTACCTAAATATATTTTGTCAGGGCAAAAAATTACTTACACTATCCAATGCCAAATAAGGTTGTTTGACATGTCATAGGAGGTGACAGTTCCAAACACAAACAAGAGTTTTAAAATATCTTTTTTGTTTCCCACTGCAAAAGGTTATCATCTACTTCCTCTCTCTTTCTATTGATGCTGGGGAGCTTTGCATGGTTTAAGACAAAGGGCATATTACAAATCAGTGAAGAAATGTGGAATAATTGATAAATGTTTCTGGGACAATTGAATAAAGGTGAAAAAAGTAAAGCTAGACTTGGATTTCACATCATATACTAAAATAATTTGGGGTGAATTGCAGTGGTATAAGTGACAGTTTGAAAGAAAGTGTAAGAGAGTATAACATTTAAATAGAGAAATTTTTTTCTTGTGAGCAATAAAACACATATCACAAAAGAAAATATTGATCAATTAAAGAACTTTGCAAAAAAACAAAAAGATATAGAAACAATGTGAAAAAGCACAGAATAGGGAAAAAAAATATTTAAAAGTCCACCAGATCCATCAATTACAATATAAAGTTGTCTGCTCCAATAGTTGAAATCTTGCTGTCAAATTCCTGACTGATTCAACAATTCTTTTCCAGAAGTAAGAATATTTACGTAAAGAAGTATGTTTCCTTTTCTTTCCACATTATAGTTCATTGCTTCCTTCAGTGAACTGAAACATATGCACAGACTTTTTTCATCTATGCATACTTTCCATGTTTAATGAGCCATTAGTGCAGCATTTCCATTACATTGATTGCATTCATTCTGCTCCAGCAAAGCATACATTTCAGAATGTAACATGTATCTGCTGTGTGTCCATTCAATGTTACCTTCTAATTTTAGAAAAAATAGTAGCAGTTACCCTTAATACCATTTTATTAAACACTAGGAGAAACCATTGCGTGAGAGATTATAAGTTAACACGATTTTATTGCAAAGGCATATAAATGCAAGAAATAAAATTTCAAAGCAAGAAATACGATTCCAAAGCCTCTTCCTATATGGAGTAATTCAAGAAAAACAAATGAAATAAGAGTTGCTTTTATCTGAAAATCTTATAACCCACGTTATATGGTGGTATCAAAGCAATAATAGTTGATTATATACAGCTATCAGCAAAAACTAGAAACAAGATATAGGTGTGCCCTACTGCCTTTAATTTACATTTCAATATTTATAACACTATGCTGAAACAGAATAAATATTTTTTTACCTGATTATTATTTGCAATAGCTTATTTCCCTTTTTTTGGTATCTGAAAGTTAACTTTTCCATTGACAAGTTTGTGTTATATGATGATTTTAATAACAGAGCTGGAATTGTTCAATCAGTCGGCATTTGCTAGCTTTGTCTCAGGTACTCTACTAGAAATGGGGAATAAAAAGATGAATGTGATATCTCCATTTTCAACAAGTTCATAGCCATTTGGGGGCCAGTAAAATTAATAAACAAAGATTTTTGTTCAAAAGGTAATTTAATGTTTGATTATATATGATGCAAGAGGTATTGTTTTATGCTTATTTCGAATTTCGTAATTGGAATTCGTTACAAACCTATATAGAAGTTATTTTCCCTAGTTTCCAGAAAAGTAAAAATAGCTAGCATTTACTGAATGAATGACAAATGCAATAATTTATGTAAAACGAGATGTCATCGCTTTTTATTTATACTACAATCTTCTGAGTTAGTTTTTTTTATCATCTCGTTAAACATGAGAAAACTAGTTTAAACTACAAGTTGCAGAACTAGTGACATACACACTAAATGATACATATGTGATTCCTAAGTACACATACATTCTACTATAGTTTGGTAACTTTAATCCTTAAAATAGTATTGGTTCTTTGTGGCTGGTACTTCTTGAGCAGCAAAAATGCTTATAAGACCACTTATTATATGGCTCTTTTTCTCCATCACCTGCTATTGATTACTCAGATCTAAAATATCCTTGACTATCCATCAAGTTTTTTCTACCCAGATATTGTCTTGCTGAGACCAGCCTTGAGAGCTAGAATATTCTATGATCTGTTCATTTACTTCCAAGATTTCAATAGAAGTAATTTCATTCTCACTGAATATAATAATCTTAAGCCATGAACACAGATCAACTATCATCTCAGAGGACTGTCACTTACAATAAACATGTGCTTGCATTTCCTTTAAATAGGTGGCATGAAGATTAATATTTTTAGGTTCAGAAATTCCTATGATTCTGTCTATAAAAAATTTGTACTAGAGGAATGAAAATAAATCTACTGGACATCTTCTGTCTCTGTGATCTTATGTGCCTTTAGAAATGTAAGAAAAGTCCTTTCTTATTTCCTTGAGCTGTGGTTTGTAGTTCTCCTTAAAGAGGTCCTTCACATCCCTTGTAAGTTGTATTCTTAGGTATTTTATTTTCTGTGTAGCAATTGTGAATGGGAGTTCACTCATGATTTGGCTCTTTGTTTGTCTATTATTGGTGTATAGGAATGCTTGTGATTTTTGCACATTGATTTTATATCCTGAGACTTCGCCGAAGTTGCTTATCAGCTTCAGGAGATTTGTGGCTGAGGCGATGGGGTTTCCTAAACATACAATCATATTATCTGCAAACAGAGACAATTTGACTTCCTCTTTTCCTTTTTGAATACATTTTATTTCTTTCCTTGCCTGATTGCCCTGGCCAGAACTTCCAATACTCTGTTGAATAGGAGTGGTGAGAGAGGGCATACTTGTCTTGTGCCAGTTTTCAAATGGAATGCTTCCAACTTTTGCCCATTCAGTATGATATTGGCTGTGGGTCTGTCATAAATAGCTCTTATTATTTTGAGATATGTTCCAACAATACCTAGTTTATTGAGAGTTTTTAGCATGAAGAGGTGTTAAATTTTATCGAAGGCCTTTTCAGCATCTATTGAGATTATCATGTAGCTTTTCTCATTGGTTCTGTTTATGTGATGGATTATGTCTATTGATTTGTGTATGTTGAACCAGCCTTGCATCCCAGGGATGAAGCTGTCTTCATCATGGCGGATAAGTTTTTAATGTGCTGCTGTATTCGGTTTGCCAGTATTTTATTGAGGATTTTTGTGTCGATGTTCATCAGGGATACTGGCCTGAAATTTTCTTTTGTTATGTCTCTGCCAGGTTTTGGTATCAGGATGATGTAAAAACATTCCATGCTCATGGATAGGAAGAATCAATATCGCGAAAATGGCCATACTGCCCAAAGTAACTTACAGATTAAATGATATCCCCATCAAGCTACCATTGACTTTCTTCACAGAATTAGAAAAACTATTTTAAATTTTATATGGAAACAAAAAAGAGCCCGTATAGTCAAGACAATCCTATGCAAAAAGAACAAAGCTGGAGAAATCACACTACCTGACTTCAAATTATCTTACAAGGCTACAGTAACCAAAACAGCATGGTACTGGTAACAAAACAGACATATAGACCAATGGAACAAACAGATGCCTCAGAAATAATGTCACACATCTACAACCATCGGATCTTTGACAAACCTGATAAAAACAAGCAATGGGGAAAGCATTCCCTATTTAATAAATGGTGTTGGGAAAATTAGCTAGCCATATGCAGAAAACCGAAACTGGACCCCTTCCTCACACCTTATACAAAAATTAACTCAAGATGGATTAAGGACTTAAATATAAGACCTAAAACCATAAAAACCCTAGAAGAAAACCTAGGCAATACCATTCAGAATATAGACATGGGCAAACTCTTCATATGTAAAACACCAAAAGCAATGGCCACAAAAGCCAAAATTGACAAATGGGATCTAATTAAACTAAAGAGCTTGTGCACAGCAAAATAAACTATCATCAGAGTGAACAGGCAACCTGTAGAATGGGAGAAAAATTCTGCAATCTATCCATCTGACAAAGGGCTAATATCCAGAATCTACAAGGAACTTAAGCAAATTTACAAGAAAAAATCAAACAAGCCCATCAAAAAGTGGGTGAAGGATATGAACAGACACTTCTCAAAAGCGGACATTTATGTGGCCAACAAACATATGAAAAAAAGCTCATAATCATTGGTCATTACAGAAATGCAAATCAAAACCACGATGAGATACCATCTCACGCCAGTTAGAAAGGTGATTATTAAAAAGTCAGGAAACAACAGATGCTGGAGAGGATGTGGAGAAATAGGAACACTTTTACACTGTTGGTGGGAGCGTAAATTAGTTCAACCATTGTGGAAGACAGTGTGGCAATTATTCAGGGATCTAGAACCAGAAATACCATTAGACCCAGCAATCCCATGACTAGGTATATGCCCAAAGGATTATAAATCATTCTACTCTAAAGACACATGCACAAGTCTGTTTATTGCAGCACTATCCACAATAGCAAAGACTTGGAACCAGCCCAGATCCCCATCAATGATAGACTGGCTAAAAAAAATGTGGCACATATACACCATGGAATATTATGCAGCCATAGAAAAGAATGAGTTCATGTCCTTTGCAGGGACATGGATAAAGGTGGAAACCATCATTCTCAGCAAATTAACACAAGAACAGAAAACAAACACCACATATTCTCACTCATAAGTGGTAATTAAACACTGAGAACACACGGACACAGAGAGGGGAAGATCACACATCGGTGCCTGTTGGTGGTGGGGGGCAAGGGGAGGGAGAGCATTAGGAGAAATACCTAATGTAGATGGCGGGTTAATGGGTGCAGCAAACCACTGTGGCATGTGTATACCTATGTAACAAACCTGCACATGTATCCCAGAACTTAAAGTATTATAAAAAAAGAAAGAAAAGTAATTGTCTGCATAAAGAATGGCAAAATTAGGATTCCCAAGGATAGAAGGTTATTAACCATTTATCTTGAATTTTTATAAACATCTTTAAAGAAAGCCAGACCATCTACATGTACTTTCAGATAATATAATTATTTCAGAAAGTTGTTAGATGCACATGTTTTCATATTAAGGCAATTATTTTTCTAATGGATTTAGGAAATTTGTATTTTGGGGCCTCTGATACCTAAGGCAAAAATCACTGTTGTTATTGTTTCTCTTGTTAATGCTTCCACATTTCATCCTTGGAATCATATTAATCATTTCCTGACAGATGAGCACCAATTTTTGCTAAATTCTTCGCACATAGTATTATTATGTCATTGTTTTCCTCAAGTGATTAGCAAGAATCAATTTACAGATTAAAAAGACAAAAACAAAGGAAAACAAAACCCACAGAGCTTTGTGCTCATATCCTTCACCATGGCTCTGCACCACATAATGGACCTTGAACAGGGAGAAATGTTAAGAGTCCTGGATCAGGTCTGTAAGTGCCTCAACATCAAAGCAATGGCACCATGAGAACATTGGCCTATTCCCTTCTTTAAGGGACAAATTAGGAAAACGAGGCTTGAAGATCACAATTTCAATTCAACAAATGCATTGTGATATAACTGAGAAAACAAAACAAGAAATTTAGATTTCTTCCCAGAAATAATTATGACTAAATAATGCAAGGGTATTTGTAGCCCCACTTCCACTAGAACCTCAGGAAATTTGTCTAAATTAGCAGCTTTGAAAAGGATGGTGATGGAAAAAAGACCTGCAGAAGAGGGACAGTTTTCAGATCAGAGTCAAAACCTCAGGACCATAGAGGTTTACCAGGCAACGTGGAGAAATCAGACGAGAGGTTGTGGCAAAAGCAAAGAACTATAAAAATAGAATCTGAAGTACCGATGTAGTTCAGAGACATCAGGGGATAAGACTGCTGGAAGAGTGCGATCTGAGGTCTGTTTCCGTATAGGGGAAATGCCCTGGGGCAGAAGCTTGCATGTATCTTGACAATTTCATTTATCCTATCTATCTTAATGTCACAATAAAAAATATGTGCCCATCTAGGCTTTATATATGCTTTGATTGGCTTTCAAAATTGTTTTATCTTTCCTTCTATGTATCCTGATATGCAAAGATGAACCTATTATGAAGAAAATGAAGCTTAAGCCCCTCACTTACACAGTCGGTTAAAGGCCCTGGGAGGAGCTCTTGCAGTGTCTTCTCATAGCAGGTATTTTCATAAAACTTGCAAAAGTAATATAGTTAAGCATGACTGGCTATAACCATTGTATTATTCCTGCTTCCTCTCCATCACACTTCCCCTAAAGCCTAGTAATGTTGAAATTGCTCCTCTGTCTACCTGCCAGTCTATACAGCATTGCTACATGAATTACACAGTGTGAGGTTGCATAATGATAGGAACAAGTCATATGAGGCCCAACATCTGTGTCCTGTGTTGTAAAGAAAAAAGCTTTGTCATGTACACCACCACAAGTTAATTTGTGGAGAATGCTTGCAACAATCAGATGTATAAAATTGCAAGGAATGTATTTAATTCAACACCTCATCCAAAGAGTTGTCTTCTACTTCATAATGTATCATACACAATTATATACTCAAAATTTATTGTTTTACTGAAGGAAATACATTTTATAAAGCACTTATATACTGTAATGTGAACATATGTTTTGGAATGTTTGATTTAAATATAATTGAGAAGTTCAAACTCCTGATTAGGCCCTAAATGAAGGCTATTTTTTTTGTCAGACTAACATTAATTTATAAAAGTATAGAGATAATATTTAGATGCAAAATTAATAGAAAATGACACAACAAATAAAGATAAGCAATAAAATTAACAGAAATTATTTTAACATTGAGAACAAATTATAACAAAAATTACCACAAAATTATCTTACATCATGAACTTAATTTTCTGTCAAAAATAATTTTTCTGTCTTTATTTTAGGCTTTGCAGGCAACATGGTCTGTGTCACCACTATCCAACCCCAGAGTCATAGGAGAAAATATCACATGCAATATGCAAAGAAATTGGCATAAAATATTTGGCCCTTGTTTTAAATAATACCAAACAAGGGATTTATTAAGAGAAAAAGATAAATAGCAAACAGAATAGCTGCTTGGCTTTTTTTGATAATCCAAGTAGTAACTTATATGAATACCTTCATTCAAATGTACCTTTTGCTCATTTGACAAAATACACTAACATCAACAAAGGTAACATAAAACTTTTTATATGCTATTATAAGGTGAGAAAAATTTGTTATAAATTTTAAAAAGCATTTAAAATTAAGGGCTACATCAAATATTATAAAACTTGAAATTTTGTTGTTGTTGTTGCTGAAACAAATTCTGCCTTTGTCATTCATGCTGCAGGGCAATGGCACCATTATAGCTCGCTGTAGCCTCGAAGTAATAGGTTCAAGTGATCCTCCCACCTCAGTCTCCTGAGTAGCTGGGACTACAGGCACCCCACCATGTCCAGCTAATTTTATTTTATTTTTTGTAGCAACAGGGTTTTGCTATGTTGCCCAGGCTGGTCTCAAACCCCTGATCTCAAGCAATCATCCTGCCTCAGCCTCCCAACATGTTTGAATTACAGGCATGAGCTACCATGCCTGGCTTTGAAATATTTTGAAAGATATATACATATATATATATATATATATATGTATATATATATATATATACACACACACACACATACACACACACACACATACATACACACTATATATATCTAGAAAGATATATATGTATATATATAGTATATATATACAATATATATAGAAAGATATATGTGTGTGTGTGTGTATGTATATATATATATATATATAGAGAGAGAGAGAGAGAGAGAGAGAGAAAGAGAGAAGGAACTTGATAGGGGTGTTCACAAAGCTGTCAATTATCTTAAAAATTTACAAATTTATATGACATTGCTAATGACAATTTGAGAAGCTGGAGAAAAAAATTTAAAAAATGACAACTCAAAATGTACACCACCACTTTAGCAGAATGACCAAACTTTTTTTTTTCTAACTTCATATTTTTAGCCAGGTGTGATGGCAGGTGCCTGTAATCCCAGATACTCAGGAGGCTGAGGCAAGAGAACTACTCGTACATGGGAGGCAGAAGTTACAGGGAGCTGAGGTCACGCCACTGCACTCCAACCTGGGCAACAACAGTGAAACTCCATCTCAAAAATAAATAAATAAATAAATAAATTGATATTTTTATTGCAAATAATTGTCATAAGAAATGACAATGAAAGAAGATGCAGTCTAAATCTACAGGAACAAAAATATCTATAAAGATGCTTTTTTGGGGGGATTTTGTGAATGCTTGTATTTGCTCTTTTTCAATTATCAGTTTTAAATAATGATCTTTTTCTAATCTAATATTAGGTGAGTGAAAAAGTAATTGCAGTTTTTGAGTTGTTGGAACCAGCAAGATGTAGAAAATGCTTTCCAAGAATTCATCAAATCCTGAAGCATGGCTTTTTACGCTACAGGAATAAATTTACTTCTCCTTGGCAATAATGTGTTGATTGTAATGGTTCCTATTTTAATTAATAAAGATGTGTTTGAGCCTAGTTATACATGATTTTAAATTCACAGACTGAAACTGTAATTACTTTTGCACCAACCTTTTACCTTTAAAGCTCATTATCTATTGCAATTTCAAATAATTTTTTTCTAATAGCCAGTTCCCCAAATTAAGCCTCCCCTAAACCTAAAAAATGTTATTAAAGCTCAATAATCAAATTTTTGTTTTGGATACTTTATTTGAAATGAAGATTTTTTACTTACTTTATATTATATCTGTTCCATCAATCCTATAACTATAAATACCTAAGGAATGTTTTATTAAAATATATCATGGAAATATATTTAGACAAATAACATAAAAACAATGAACTTTTATTTCTATGCTTTTAAAAATCACAGACAGGGAAGAGGAAATAGTAAAAGCTTTTCCGAGGCTTCCTTAGTCTGGTAGATTTAGACTCAAGCAGTCAGATATTTTCTGATTCTACAGGGGAATAAAAAGTGTATTTGAAGCAGAGAGAGAGAGAGAAAGAAAAGGGAGGAAGGAAGGAAAGAAGAAAGGAAGGAAGGAAGGAAAGAAGGAAGGAAGGAAGGAAAGAAGGAAAGGAAGGAAGGAAGGAAGGAAGGGAAGGAAGGAAGGGTCTCCTTTTCAGTATCTTTTTAAACTTATTGGTAGAAAACCCACCAAAGGTCTCTCTTTGGCCCCACCTTTCCCTCTTCTAAATTGGAGAAGGTGGGCCATGGTGGCAATCTAGGCAGGAGGAGGTCTTAGCACAACGGCGAAGTAGTTTTAGTGTTGTGATGATTGTTCAAATATAAAGAGACAAAGAAAATGATCATTGTACTCTTTCTGGAGATGGTGGGGGCTTTGGAGATGTAAAATGAAATATGAAATAAAATTTTCTTTACATTTTCTTACATTTCCAACATGGATTTTAAGAAAAGCAGCAACATTATTATTAATAGTATGGAGCTGAATGCAGTAAATTGTAGAAAGCCCTTCGAGACAAGAACGAGTCAGCATTAGTCTGATTCTAGGGCCTGAGCTAAATATCTTTCCTAATTCTATGAAAAGACGAAGGGATGAGTGGATTAAGTGATTCGCCGACCAAGCCTGGGGAAAGAACAATTTTTTTCAATTAAGATCCTTCCCAATCTCTCAAAATAGCTGTTGCTGCTGCGCCTTTTTCCTCCTCCCCTTCTCCTCTCTCTTCTTATTTTCTGTTTTCCATTTCTGTTACGATTTGATTCAAGATTTGACTAACCATAAATACTTAAACATCAGTATTGTAATTAATTTGTCCTGGTGCAGAAATGGATATTCCCGGGTTGAGACAGAAAAACGTGCCTCAGAATCTGTTACAAAAATCAAGCTGAAACACCAGTTATTTCTATTTAACCATAGCTAAGTCACACAAGTTTACATTAGAACATAAAACATGGCAGTGCCGTGCTAAAGGAGATGCTTCCAGCTAAGCAGTGATACAGATGTTAGATAAAGGGTGCAGACGATAACAAGAACAGACAAGATCGTTTTTACACATGCAGTTCTGATGCCCATTGCAATGATCACAATGAGAAATAAAACCTAGAGGCTTTTTTCAAATGTCAGTGAGACTATACAGAATGCTTTATATGTTTATTATCACGTGCACTGAGTATTTTTATAGCAACAGGTGTTCACAGAAGAAAAATATAAAAAGAAATGCCAACAGAAAAGACAGAACATAAATCATTCATAACCCCACCACCTTGAGACAACTACCATTAAATTGCTATGCATAGCCTTACGATTTTTCTTTTTCTTTTTCTTTTTTTTTTTTAGACGGAGTCTCGCACTGTCGCCCAGGCCAGAGTGCAGTGGCACGATCTCGGCTCACTGCAAGCTCCGCCTCCTGGGTTCACGCCATTCTCCTGCCTCAGCCTCCCGAGTAGCTGGGACTACAGGCGCCCTCCACCACGTCCAGCAATTTTTTTATATTTTTAGTAGAGATGGGGTTTCACCGTGTTAGCCAGGATGGTCTCCATCTCATGACCTCGTGATCCGCCCACCTTGGCCTCCCAAAGTGCTGGCATTACAGGTGTGAGCCCCCGCGCCTGGGCAGCCTTAAGATTTTTCTATGCATATGTATATCTACATTAATAATCTTGCAAGTTTAGGAATGTCATCGTTGCTGCTTAGTATTTTACCTTATCCACTTAACATTATTCCTTTATGAATATTTTCTAATTTATTATCATATTTATAACTACAGTAGGTTGTTTCATAAAAATTAAGATATAACACAGAATTAAGATTCAATATACCATATGCAACACATAATAAATGTGCTTGATAACTGTAAAATTAAAAAAATCTACAGTTGATCTTTGAACAACATGGGTTTGAACTTCACAGGTCTATTATACATGGATTTTTAAAAATAAACGTATTGAAAAATGATTGGAGATTTGCAACAATTTGAAAAAAAAAAACCTGTAGATGAATCTCACAGCCTAGAAATATAGAAAAATTAAGAAAAAAATAGCCATGTCAGGAACATATAAAATATATGTTGATACTCGTCTATTTCATAATTTACTACCATAAATGATACACAAATCTAGTATGAAAAGTTCAAATTTATCAAAACTTACACACAGAAACGCAGACCATATATGGTACCATTTGCAGTTGAGAGAAATATAAACAAAAGTAAAGGTGCAGTATTAAATCATAACTATAAAATTAACTATAGTACAAATTAAACTATAGTAATAACTTTATAGTTACTGCTATTGCGGTGAGCTGGTGTTGTCAGTATCCTCCTAAAATGCTGTGTTATGCTAATCATCTTCATGTAAGCAGTTTATCTCTCCAGTAATTGAGTATTGCAGTAGTAAGTAATTTCTCTCAGTTCTCCTGTAGTTCTTATCATTTTTAGTGCAATACTGTAAATCTTGAATGACACCATGGGGCCCATACAAGGTGCCACTAGTGATGCTCGAAGTGCTCCCAAGAAGCAGAGAAAAGTCATGACATCACCAGTAAAAGCTAAATGGCATGATATGTACCATAGACAGAAGCCTGCAGCTGCGGTTGCTACTACTTCAGACCAACAATTCACCTTGTAAACAGATGATGTAACTTAGAGTATTGATAAATACAGTACAGTACTGTAAATGTATTTTCTCTATCTCTCTTTTTCTTTGTTTGCTTTGTTTGTTTGAGACAGAATCTTACTCTGTCACCCAGGCTGGAGTGCAGTGGCATGATCTCAGCTCACTGCAACCTCTGTCTCCCAGGTTTAAGCGATTCTCTTGCCTCAGCCTGCCTAGTAGCTAGGATTCCAGGTGCATGCCACCACACCCGGCTAATTTTTGTATTTTTAGTAGAGACAGGATTTCGCCATGTTGGCCAGGCTGGTCTCGAATTCCTGATCTCAGGTGAACCACCTGCCTCGGCCTCATTTTCTCTTTCTTATGAGTTTCTTAATACCATTTTCCTTTCTCTTTAAAGTAAGAATACAGTATATAATACATAAACATAAAATACACGTTAATTGACTATATTACAAGTAAGGCTTATGGTCAACAGTAGGCTATAATGTTTTTTAGGAGTCAAAAATTATATATGGGTATTTGACTGCATGACAGGGGGGTCTGTGCCCTTAATTCTCACATTGTTCAAGGGTTAATTGTACACTCTATTTTATTTTACAGTTTTAAGCCAACATGTAAAAATGAACACTATTTCTAAATTTTTACTGTGATAAATTATGTTGTAATAGAAACATTTCAATGTCCTTTAAGAGCTATTCCCAATCATTTATAATAAAAGGTGGAATAGTAAGGTCAAAGATTAAGCCTATTTTAGTGTTGATGCAGGCAACATTCAATGTCGATATTTTGGAAAGATTATAACAATTAACATTGGCATTGGCAGTTCTCCAAAACACACTAACATTGGCATTATACATAAATTTGATTCTCAGTCAATAGGTAATTGTGGTATTTCATTTATTATTCTTCTTAATGATAGGTTGAACATGCATTCTTTGTTTTTCATTGGCCACTCCTGTGTCTTTTCAGTAAGTTATTCTTGCATATATATTGTCCTTTTCCTCCCACTGCAGTGTCGGCCTTTTTATTTTAATTTATGCAAGTTTTTTGTTTTTAATAATAACTGATATATAGCTTGTAATAACAGTTACAATCATTTTGAAACATTTTCTGTTTTTCAGCCACATTCTTGTAATAGTCCTTGTACCTCACTCCTTTTTCCCAATCTTCTTTCATTCTCCCATGTATTATATATTTCAATAACTGTAATGTCATTTATTTGAATTTGATGAGCGCCTTCACATATCTTATTCTCTCTGCTGAGGGAGAGTAAGTGAGTAAAGTTGGTTTTTCTTTTAGGCTCCAGCATATATAAATTTGTTCATCTAACCCACTGTTTCACTGATAGTTTAGTTATGTAGAGAATTTTACATCTATATTTTTTCTTCATAGAATTTTGAAGGTATTTTTCCATTCCATTCCAGTGTGCATAAGAATTATGAGACAACATCAAAAAAGCAACTATATGAGTTATAGAAGTTAAATAAAGGAAAGAGAAATATTAAAAGAATAGAAAGCATATTTAAAGAAATAGGAGCAGAAACATTTCCAAACTCAGGAAAAGATAAAAATATCCAGGTACAGGAAGGTCAAAGTTCTTCATTCAGATTCTATACAAATAAGAATACCCCAAGACATATTAAAATCAAACTATCAAAAATTGAAGACAAAGAGAGAATTCTGAAAACAGCAAGACTAAAGCAGCAAATAACATATAAGGAAGTTCCAATATACCTAACTGGAGACACACTCAGCAGAAATCTTACAGTCCAGAAAAGATTTGGATAATATATCCAACATGCTGAAGAAAAAAAAAAATCTGTCAACCAAGAGTAGCATACCCAGGAAAACTGTTCTTCAGAAATAAAAAAGAGACAAAGACTTTTCTAGACAAACAAAGCTGAGGGAGCTCATCACCACCAAACCTGTGTTAGAAGAAATGATAAAGAGGGTTCTATGAGTTGAAAGAACAGGACACTAAGATTAACACAAAAACATCTGAAAGAATAAAACTCATTGGTAAGAGAAAATACAAAGTAAAGTTCAGACTATCTTCATACTATAATGGCGGTGTGTAAATCATGTATATCATTAGTATGAAGGTTAAAAGACAAAACTATTAAATTAGTAATCACTACAGTAATTTGTTAAGGATTATCCAATATAAAATGATAAAAGTTGTGACATCCAAAATTGAAATGTAGAGGGGAAGTAGAGTTAAAGTGTAGAGTTGCTTTTTTGTGATCAAAGATAAGTTGCTTTTGCTTAAAATATCCTGTTATAACTGTAAGATGACTTTTGCAAGCTTCATGATAATCACAAAGCAAATAACTTTGATACACTAAAAATAAAAAGCAACAAAATAATTGTACCACTAGAGAAAATCACCACAAAGAAGACAGTAAGAGAAGAAGAAAGAATCTTCAAAACAACTGGGAAACAATGAACAATATAGTGTAGTAAGTTATTACCTATCAATAATTACTTTGAATGTAAATTAATTAAATTATCCAACCAAAAGATAAGAAGTGGCTGAATGGTTTAAAAAAATAGGACCTAACTATAGTACAGAAATGGAAAAAGATGTCTCATGCAAATAGAAACTTTAAAAAAGAGCAAGAATAGCTAGAATTAAACCAGATAAAATACAATTTAAGTCAAAAGCTGTAAAAAGAGACAAAGATGGTAATTATATAATTAGAAAGTGGCCCATTTAGCAAGATAATATAACAATTCTCTCTCTCTCTCTTTCTCTCTCTTTCTCTCTATATGTATATACACACACACACATATATATAACAACTATATATACAGCAACTGTATGTATACGACTGTATATATATATAGTGCAGTGTGTGTGTATATATATACACACCATATTGTGTGTGTGTGTGTGTGTGTATATATATATATTTACTACACTAATGTGTAGTCACAATCTCTGTGGAGCTTAAATTCAATTTCAACCCAGTTTGGCCAACAAGGTATCATGAGAATGGCTTCTTATCACTGCATGTGTAATATGGTAATACATACACACAGCAAACACATAATTTATTAAGACCTTCCACACTCCACCTTTAACACTCTGTTAAAAAAATAAGGGGCTGGGTGCGGTGGCTCACGCCTGTAATCCTAGCACTTTGGGAGGCTGAGGCAGGCAGATCACGAGGTCAGGAGATCAAGACATCCTGGACAACAAGGTGAAACCCGTCTCTACTAAAATACAAAAAATTAGCTGGACGTGGTGGCGGGCGACTGTAATCCCAGCTACTAGGGAGGCTGAGGCAAGAGAACTCGGGAGGCAGAGGTTGCAGTGAGCCCAAATCGTGCCACTGCACTCCAGCCTGGCGACAGAGCAAGACTCCATCTCAAAAAATAAATAAATAAATAATAAAAATAAAAAAAGAAAGGGACCAAAATATGACGCATGAGAATGTTTTTCGTGACATCAATGAAATATTAAATTTTAAAAAATAGGCAGTATAGATGTAAAATTCTAACTCTATGGCAATAAGTTCTGCCACTCCTTTCGTACTTTCTAAATTGGCAATTGTGCCAAAACACTCTTTTCTGTAGTGTAAACCACACCTCAGGGTTAGTTTGGCAATGTGTTAAATTCTGCTGTAAGCATTAGTCCGGTGAGACTTTGGCAAGCCGACACTATTCAAAGCAGTCAAAAATAAAATGTAAAAAACTGAAAAAAAATCTCATTTGTGCCAAGTTAAGAAAGAAATACAAATATTGAAAAATTTAACCTTTAATGCATTTTGGTTTCCCTTGCATTTCCATTTTATTCCTTTAGTTTTTTTGTAGGTGCTAAAACCACTAAGTCTTTGCTCAAAAGGAAACATTTTGTCTACTAAGTCTGGTTTCTATAACCATAAAATTGGGATGCTCTTGAGACACTGAGCCCCATCTATTACAGGCAAATTAAAAAACTGATGGGTTAAGAATGAAGTATAATGAAGGAAAAGAGAATCAAGGAATCAAAAAATTTCTTCTTCTCATGGGAACCGTAAAATCCTGAAAGGTAAATGGCAATCACATTCCCACAGCTATTGCAGTGCTTCTAAATAGATAATTATTTCAAACCATTTATTTTGCTGGAAAAGATATTTCAGAGAAAGAAGTAAAAATAAAAAAACCCGAAGTTTTAATGTCGCCTTCATTATTTATGTGTTGCTCACAAATGGATGAGAGGCAATTTTGAATTTACTGTAGGCACATTTGCTATATTGAATTCTCTATTTGCTAGTTATAGATGTGGACAAATGGATAAGAAATAGATTCCCCAAATGGAAAATGAGCTACACAGAAGAATTCAAAACGAACTCCTATTGTGAGTTTCTGAAACATACTATAGAACAAGAAAAAACATTGTAGACTGCCGCTTGCTTAGAGCTACTAGTAGAAGAAAAAATGCATTTTTTCTCATTTGGGGGTAGATTTACAGTTGATCATGTGTTTCTTTGGTCAATACCTAGCATTTGTTAAGTTTTCTATTTTTTCCTGGGTTGGCAGTGATAAATATTTTTCCTCCTAGATACATTATGAAATTATATTTTCTTGTAAATGTCAGGTTTCCATTTGTCCTACAGTAAAGGCTAGCCTGCATTGACAATGTCTTTCTGCACTAAAACTTAGATAGAAGGATGATGAATTTGTAAATTCACTTTCAATAATCACTCAATTCATCAGGATTGTTAGATTTCTGGGACTACCAATATCTAATGCTTGGCTTGGTATATCGTAAGCTCAATAAATATTTGTTGAATGATGAATAAGACAATAGATTTGAGCACACAAAATAAAAATGAAATGCGTAATTTTTTGTCCCTCGAGAAGCTGATGGGCTAATAAGGAATATACAGAATAATAAGATTAGCAAGACATTTCAAAAATACTTTACAATATTTTAACGAAATATTTTTACATGGCAATCAGAATAAAAATTATAAACATAATACCCTAAACAGAATCTAACATTTAAATTAATAAGTGATGGAGCATTAATGAGAAATGTTTCACTGTAACATGGATGTGGAGTGGAGGGATTTGTTTTTGCAGTGATGTCATTCTTAGAAGCAGAATACAATGTACAAAAGAAGTAGTTTTATATATTATATATACATATATATGTGTACATATGTATACACACATGTATACATGTACACACATATATGTATATATAATATATAAAACTACTTCTACTTCTACTACTTATATATTATATATGTAAATATACAGAGAGATATATATAAACACACACATATAAAGCGCTGTATCTATACTTATCTGTGGATTGTAATTTTAGGACGCTCTTAATTTATTACGCCAAGGGGAAAGTTAAGCTTTGGAGATGAGTCACATAGTATGTGTGCAAGTTCAGCTTCTTAGATTATAGATTTACTCTCTTCTTCATTGTTCTTGCTCTGTAAATGACTAGGGGAGACTAGAGATCAGACATCTTACCCCTTCAATTCACTTATCTTTGTTATAGATTAACTACCTCTTTTATTGTCATGTACCTAACTCAGACCAGATGGTTCAAACGACCTCATGACTGTTACATCTTCAGGGTGGAATGTTAAATATACCCTTCCTGAAAGAAAAATACAGTCTCAACTAATCAGATCATTGTAAATATGCATCCAGCCTTGTACAGAAAGATGTTGAAATTCTTTTTAGCTTCCTTAAACTTTGTCTCTATAAACAACCCTAAGCTTCTACCATCAGAACACTGACTTTTAGTCTTTGTAACCTGTGCTTCCTGAGTGGCTGTCTTCAAACTTTGTGCTTGAATAAACTCTTATTAAACTAGATTCTAACCCTTTTTAATTATTTTAGGTTGGCATTATTTATAATTACAACATATTCAACACCATCTCTCTTACACGTGCATTTTTTTAATAAAATAAAAGTAAGAGCAAGAGCCAATGGAAGTTTCCAGGGCAGGTGTCAGGTACTTTACTACCAACCTTTGCAGCCTTGTCCCAGCCACTTTTTATAAACCAAAATAAACCACATAATTTCAGGCAAGTGCCCCTGTGAGAAAAGCTTGTGAGAAAAGCACTACCCATAGCAAGGTTTCCTCTTCTTAACAGAAATAAAGAAATCCTGGAGTTAACTCTAGTGAGAACAACTTAAACTTTAAAATATTCATCATTTTGAAAGTGTACAAGTATTAACAGTCGGTTTTCGCTTTTATTTATTTTATTTTATTTTATTTTTATTTTTTTTTTTGAGACAAGAGTCTCACCCTGTCACCCAGGCTGGAGTGCAGTGGCGTGATCACAGCTCACTGCAAACTCCACCTCCCGGGACTACAGGCGCGTGCCACCACACCCTGCTAAGTTTTTCTATTTTTTTTAAGTAGAGACGGGGTTTCACTGTGTTAGCCAGGATGGTCTTAATCTCCTGACCTCGTGATCCGCCTGCCTTGGCCTCCCAAAGTGCTGAGATTACAGGCATGAGCCACTGCGCCCGGCCGGTTTTCACTTTCTAAATCCCTCGATGTGAGAACATACTTTGGGGTATTCCTAAACACTGTTTTCAAATAAATTAAATGAAGCTTTTATTGATCTTACAAAACTGCCAAAACCAACCTAGAACTCATGTTCATGAACACATTTTATTTTATTTTAAATTTAAAGGAGTTTAGTGAAGCAATGAAACCTTCGTGAATCAGGCAGCCTCCAGAATCACAGCAGGTTCACAGAGACTCTAGTACAGCCACATGGTGGAAGAAGATCTATAGACATAAAAGGGAAGTGGCCTACAGAAATTGGAAGTGAGGTATGGAAACAACTGGATTGGTTACAGTTCAGTGTTTGCCCTCTTTGAACACAGTTTAAACACTCAGCAGTCTATGACTGGTTGAAGTATGGCTGCTGGGATTTGCCAAGATTCAGATATTGTGACAATCCCATACTTCTAAGTCAGGTTTTCAATCTTGTCTACCTATTAAGTTAGGTTATGGTTCATCCACAAGGACTCAGATATAAAAGTAAGGAGTCCTTCTTAGGCCACAGTTAGTTTGCTTTAACAATTCCCCGCTTTTGGTCATTTTCTCAATTTTGAGAGATTGGCCAAAACTTTATTCATCGATGTCACTATCACCATCGTAAATGTACTTATTTGGTCTTGAAACCCACTGGAAAACAGTAGAACAGTGGGTTTTGCAAGGTGGGAATGAGGATTGAGTAGATGGTACCTCCTTATACAGAAACGTCCTGTTTGCAGGAGAAAAACAAAACCTCGTCTGTTCTAGGATCTATGTGTTTCCTTAAAGTCTTAGCTTGATTATGTCACACTTAGCACAAGTGACTCCATTTTTATACAGTTTCTTCTGTTGGTGCCTAGTGATTGAGCTCAGTCCAAACAATAGCCTCCCGTAATTTTGTTTTAAGAATTCCCCCTTTTTGGTCAGGTTCTCATTTAGGTGAGAGTGTGACCAAACTTTAGGGCCTTAATGCTACTCTCAGTTACCATCATTTTGGGTTTCCGGTCTTAGCACCTCATTCATAGATTACGGTTTTCCCATGGTTGCATAGTTCTTTCAGCTCTTGTCATTTCTGTTGAAGAGAGACTACCTGACATTCTGGAGATGTCTGAATGCAAACATTTAAAACCTTTGAGAGCATACAGCACACCAGGGAGACTTCTATTATGACTATCGGGAGGATAACACCAAGAGTTGAAAGTATGGTCCCTACTAGGGTCTCCATAAACCAAATCACTTAAAATCAAATAGATCAAAGAATGAGCTAGATAAAGAGTTTACTCGCTTGATTAAGTAGTCCTCTTCTTAATCCCCTACAACTGAGTGTCTGTAATACCCAATGCTTTCTCCACAAGACATAAGTGCCAGCAGCTGCACAGATACTTCTGTTTAGCCAGTCAGCAATCTAAAGCAATTCGATTATTTAGCATAACTTTCACAAGAGAATTTAAAATCTGCTGTGTAATTATAGCCTTTAAAGTAGAGTTTGCTAGACAGCTTATCATGAGGGATACATTTCTAATCATTGCTTCTTTTACTCCAAACCATGGAAAAAGTACCTAACAAATGATGCCCTTCTAGAAGAGTGAAGGCCTCCTGGCAACCTTCTCTTTAACACATGATGTGGGTCAAAGGGAGTGAACCAAAGTTCTGTTTCTGACTGATTATGAGGCAACGTATGTACCATTTAAGTCTCTCACCTACATTGGGCTTTCATATTTTATCTATCAAAATATAAGGTTATCTACATATAAGTCTGGCTGCCAAATCCTTCACAAGTAAAAGTATACCCAGTAAGTGCACACAGAAGACCTCTTTTCATTTCTATTGTTCATAGAGGCCTAAACAAGGGGAAAAATTACTCAAAGATAAGAGTCTCAAGATAGTACAGAAGTCTTGATTCATGATCTTGGGAAAAGCTGTTCACATCAAGGATGCCATCTTCTTCTGAGGAGAAACTTCCCTGGTTAGATTTACCTTAAAGGTTCCAATGGGTGCACAGTTCCAAGAATGTGGAGGGACGCCTCTCAATTGTGAAATTATGAACACAAGGTCATGAACACATTTTAAATCAAAAGTTTCTTAAAGGTTTCATCATCAATGTCACAATAGCAAATGGACTATTTAGTCTATACATTCCTCTAAACTTTTCTCTGAGTTTGTCAAATTCCAGAAAGACAGTGATCATAAAAGGTCATGGTCACTGTTTACATGGCATTTGTTCGGTCCACAGCACGGTGATCTCTGATGTCACAGTGTCTATCCTTATCCAATAAGAGGCAGAGCCTGGAAGTAACTGATTATATATTTAATGTAAGTCCCCTCTTCCCAGCACTGAACTTGACTTGGTCATGATTCAGTGAAAATAATGTCTGCCATTGGGGAGCTTAAAATAGTATAAAAATACCATTGTCCATTTTTTTCTTTTCAAAATTATAAATGCGAATACATGTCCATTGTTGAAAATTTGAATTGAACAATTTTTTTTAATTTTATTATTATTAAAGTTTTATGGTACATGTGCACAATGTGCAGGTTAGTTACATATGTATACATGTGCCATGCTAGTGTGCTGCACCCATTAACTCGTCATTTAGCATTAGGTATATCTCCTATTGCTCTCCCTCCCCCCTTCCCCCTCCCCCCACCCCACAACAGGCCACGGAGTGTGATGGTCCCCTTCCTGTGTCCATGTGTTCTCATTGTTCAATTCCCATCTATGAGTGAGAATATGCGGTGTTTGGTTTTTTGTTCTTGTAATAGTTTACTGAGAATGATGATTTCCAATTTCATCCATGTCCCTACAAAGGACATGAACTCATCATTTCTTATGGCTGCATAGTATTCCATGGTGTATATGTGCCACATTTTCTTCATCCAGTCTATCATTGTTGGACATTTGGGTTGGTTCCAAGTCTTTGCTATTGTGAATAGTGCCGCAATAAACATACGTGTGCATGTGTCTTTATAGCAGCATGATTTATAGTCCTTTGGGTATATACCCAGTAATAGGATGGCTGGGTCAAATGGTATTTCTAGTTCTAGATCCCTGAGGAAACGCCACACTGACTTCCACAAGGGTTGAACTAGTTTACACTCCCACCCACAGTGTAAAAGTGTTCCTATTTCTCCACATCCTCTCCAGCACCTGTTGTTTCCTGACTTTTTAATGATTGCCATTCTAACTGGTGTGAGATGGTATCTCATTGTGGTTTTGATTTGCATTTCTCTAATGGCCAGTGATGGTGAGCATTTTTTCATGTGCTTTTTGGCTGCATAAATGTCTTCTTTTGAGAAGTGTCTGTTCATGTCCTTTGCCCACTTTTTGATGGGGTTGTTTGTTTTTTTTTCTTGTAAATTTGTTTGAGTTCATTGTAGATTCTGGATACTAGCCCTTTGTCAGATGAGTAGGTTGCGAAAATTTTCTCCCATTTTGTAGGTTGCCTGTTCACTCTGATGGTAGTTTCTTTTGCTGTGCAGAAGCTCTTTAGTTTAATTAGATCCCATTTGTCAATTTTGGCTTTTGTTGCCATTGCTTTTGGTGTTTTAGACATGAAGTCCTTGCCCATGCCTATGTCCTGAATGGTAATGCCTAGGTTTTCTTCTAGGGTTTTTATGGTTTTAGGTCTAACATTTAAGTCTTTAATCCATCCTGAATTAATTTTTGTATAAGGTATAAGGAAGGGTTCCAGTTTCAGCTTTCTACGTATGGCTAGCCAGTTTTCCCAGCACCATTTATTAAATAGGGAATCCTTTCCCCATTGCCTGTTTTTCTCCGGTTTGTCAAAGATCAGATAGTTGTAGATATGCGACATTATTTCTGAGGGCTCTGTTCTGTTCCATTGATCTATATCTCTATTTTGGTACCAGTACCATGCTGTTTTGGTTACTGTAGCCTTATAGTATACTTTGAAGTCAGGTAGCGTGATGCCTCCAGCTTTGTTCTTTTGGCTTAGGATTGACTTGGCGATGCGGGCTCTTTTTTGGTGCCATATGAACTTTAAAGTAGTTTTTTCCAATTCTGTGAAGAAAGTCATTGATAGCTTGATGGGGATGGCATTGAATCTATAAATTACCTTGGGCAGTATGGCCATTTTCACGATATTGATTCTTCCTACCCATGAGCATGGAATGTTCTTCCATTTCTTTGTATCCTGTTTTATTTCATTGAGAAGTGGTTTGTAGTTCTCCTTGAAGAGGTCCTTCACATCCCTTGTGAGTTGGATTCCTAGGTATTTTTTTTTCTTTGAAGCAATTGTGAATGGGAGTTCACACATGATTTGGCTCTCTGTTTGTCTGTTATTGGTGTATAAGAATGCTTGTGATTTTTGTGCATTGATTTTGTATCCTGAGACTTTGCTGAAGTTGCTTATCAGCTTAAGGAGATTTTGGGCTGAGACAATGGGGTTTTCCAGATATACTATCATGTCATCTGCAAGCAGGGACAATTTGACTTCCTCTTTTCCTAATTGAATACCCTTTATTTCCTTCTCCTGCCTAATTGCCCTGGCCAGAACTTCCAACACTATGTTGAATAGGAGTGGTGAGAGAGGGCATCCCTGTCTTGTGCCAGTTTTCAAAGGGAGTGCTTCCAGTTTCTGCCCATTCAGTATGATATTGGCTGTGGGTTTGTCATAGATAGCTCTTATTATTTTGCCATACATCCCATCAATACCTAATTTATTGAGAGTTTTTAGCATGAAGGGTTGTTGAATTTTGTCAAAGGCCTTTTCTGCATCTATTGAGATAATCATGTGGTTTTTGTCTTTGGTTCTGTTTATATGCTGGATTACATTTATTGATTTGCATATATTGAACCAGCCTTGCATCCCAGGGATGAAGCCCACTTGATCAAGGTGATAAGCTGTTTGATGTGCTGCTGGATTCAGTTTGCCAATATTTTTTTGAGGATTTTTGCATCAGTGTTCATCAAGGATATTGGTCTAAAATTCTCTTTTTTGGTTGTGTCTCTGCCAGGCTTTGGTATCAGGATGATGCTGGCCTCATAAAATGAGTTAGGGAGGATTCCCTCTTTTTCTATTGATTGGAATAGTTTCAGAAGGAATGGTACCAGTTCCTCCTTGTACCTCTGGTAGAATTCGGCTGTGAATCCATCTGGTCCTGGACTCTTTTTGGTTGGTAAGCTATTGATTATTGCCACAATTTCAGAGCCTGTTATTGGTCTATTCGGAGATTCAACTTCTTCCTGGATTAGTCTTGGGAGGGTGTATGTGTCAAGGAATGTATCCATTTCTTCTAGATTTTCTAGTTTATTTGCGTAGAGGTGTTTGTAGTATTCTCTGATGGTAGTTTGTATTTCTGTGGGATCGGTGGTGATATCCCCTTTATCATTTTTTATTGTGTCTATTTGATTCTTCTCTCTTTTTTTCTTTATTAGTCTTGCTAGCGGTCTATCAATTTTGTTGATCCTTTCAAAAAACCAGTTCCTGGATTCATTAATTTTTTGAAGGGTTTTTTGTGTCTCTATTTCCTTCAGTTCTGCTCTGATTTTAGTTATTTCTTGCCTTCTGCTAGCTTTTGAATGTGTTTGCTCTTGCTTTTCTAGTTCTTTTAACTGTGATGTTAGGGTGTCAGTTTTGGATCTTTTCTGCTTTCTTTTGTGGGCATTTAGTGCTATAAATTTCCCTCTACACACTGCTTTGAATGCGTCCCAGAGATTCTGGTATGTTGTGTCTTTGTTCTCGTTGGTTTCAAAGAACATCTTTATTTCTGCCTTCATTTCGTTATGTACCCAGTAGTCATTCAGGAGCAGGTTGTTCAGTTTCCATGTAGTTGAGCGGTTTTGAGTGAGTTTCTTAATCCTGATTTCTGGTTTGATTGCACTGTGGTCTGAGAGACAGTTTGTTATAATTTCTGTTCTTTTACATTTGCTGAGGAGAGCTTTACTTCCAACTATGTGGTCAATTTTGGAATAGGTGTGGTGTGGTGCTGAAAAGAATGTATATTCTGTTGATTTGGGGTGGAGAGTTCTGTAGATGTCTATTAGGTCCACTTGGTGCAGAGCTGAGTTCAATTCCTGGGTATCCTTGTTAACTTTCTGTCTCGTTGATCTGTCTGATGTTGACAGTGGGGTGTTAAAGTCTCCCATTATTATTGTGTGGGAGTCTATGTCTCTTTGTAGGTCACTCAGGACTTGCTTTATGAATCTGGGTGCTCCTGTATTGGGTGCATATATATTTAGGATAGTTAGCTCTTCTTGTTGAATTAATCCCTTTACCATTATGTAATGGCCTTCTTTGTCTCTTTTGATCTTTGTTGGTTTAAAGTCTGTTTTATCAGAGACTAGGATTGCAAACCCTGCCTTTTTTTGTTTTCCATTTGCTTGGTAGATCTTCCTCCATCCTTTTATTTTGAGCCTATGTGTGTCTCTGCATGTGAGATGGGTTTCCTGAATACAGCACACTGATAAGTCTTGACTCTTTATCCAATTTGCCAGTCTGTGTCTTTTAATTGGAGAATTTAGTCCATTTACATTTAAAGTTAATATTGTTATGCGTGAATTTCATCCTGTCATTATGTTAGCTGGTTATTTTGTTCGTTAGTTGATGCAGTTTCTTCCTAGCATCGATGGTCTTTACAATTTGGTATGATTTTGCAGTGGCTGGTACCAGTTGTTCCTTTCCATGTTTAGTGCTTCCTTCAGGAGCTCTTTTAGGGCAGGCCTGGTGGTGACAAAATCTCTCAGCATTTGCTTGTCTGTAAAGGATTTTATTTCTCCTTCACTTATGAATCTTAGTTTGGCTGGATATGAAATTCTGGGTTGAAAATTCTTTTCTTTATGAATGTTGCATATTGGCCCCCACTCTCTTCTGGCTTGTAGAGTTTCTGCCGAGAGATCCGCTGTTAGTCTGATGGGCTTCCCTTTGAGGGTAACCCGACCTTTCTCTCTGGCTGCCCTTAACATTTTTTCCTTCATTTCAACTTTGGTGAATTGACAATTATGTGTCTTGGAGTTGCTCTTCTCGAGGAGTATCTTTGTGGCGTTCTCTGTATTTCCTGAATCTGAATGTTGGCCTGCCTTGCTAGATTGGGGAAGTTCTCCTGGATAATATCCTGCAGAGTGTTTTCCAACTTGGTTCCATTCTCCCCATCACTGTCAGGTACACCAGTCAGACGTAGATTTGGTCTTTTCACATAGTCCCATATTTCTTGGAGGCTTTGTTCGTTTCTTTTTATTCTTTTTTCTCTAAACTTCCCTTCTCGCTTCATTTCATTTATTTCATCTTCCATCACTGATACCCTTTCTTCCGGTTGATCGCATTGGCTCCTGAGGCTTCTGCATTCTTCACGTAGTTCTCGAGCCTTGGCTTTCAGCTCCATCAGCTCCTTTAAGCACTTCTCTGTATTGGTTATTCTAGTTATACTTTTGTCTAAATTTTTTTCAAAGTTTTTAACTTCTTTGCCTTTGGTTGGAATTTCCTCCTGTAGCTCGGAGTAGTTTGATCATCTGAAGCCTTATTCTCTCAACTCGTCAAAGTCATTCTCCGTCCAGCTTTGTTCCGTTGCTGGTGAGGAACTGCGTGCCTTTGGAGGAGGAGAGGCGCTCTGCTTTTCAGAGTTTCCAGTTTTTCTGCTCTGTTTTTTCCCCATCTTTGTGGTTTTATCTACTTTTGGTCTTTGATGATGGTGATGTACAGATGGGTTTTTGGTGTGGATGTCCTTTATGTTTGTTAGTTTTCCTTCTAACAGACAGGACCCTCAGCTGCAGGCCTGTTGGAGTTTGCTAGAGGTCCACTCCAGACCCTGTTTGCCTGGGTATCAGTAGTGGTGGCTGCAGAGCAGAGGATTTTCGTGAACCGCGAATGCTGCTGTCTGATCATTCCTCTGGAAGTTTTGTCTCAGAGGAGTACCCGGCCGTGTGAGGTGTCAGTCTGCCCCTACTGGGGGGTGCCTCCCAGTTAGGCTGCTCGGAGGTCAGGGGTCAGGGACCCACTTGAGGAGGCAGTCTGCCCATTCTCAAATCTCCAGCTGCATGCTGGGAGAGCCACTGCTCTCTTCAAAGCTGTCAGACAGGGACATTTAAGTCTGCAGAGGTTACTGCTGTCTTTTAGTTTGTCTGTGCCCTGCCCCCAGAGGTGGAGCCTACAGAGGCAGGCAGGCCTCCTTGAGCTGTGGTGGGCTCCACCCAGTTCCAGCTTCCTGGCTGCTTTGTTTACCTAAGCAAGCCTGGGCAATGGCAGGCGCCCCTCCCCCAGCCTCCCTGCCACCTTGCAGTTTGATCTCAGACTGCTGTGCTAGCAACCAGCGAGACTCCGTGGGCGTAGGACCCTCCGAGCCAGGTGCGGGATATAATCTCCTGGTGCACCGCTTTTTAAGCCTGTCGGAAAAGCACAGTATTAGGGTGGGAGTGACCCGATTTTCCAGATGCCTTCTGTCACCCCTTTCTTTGACTAGGAAAGGGAACTCCCTGACCCCTTGTGCTTCCCGAGTGAGGCAATGCCTCGCCCTGCTTCGGCTCGTGCACGGTGCGCTGCACCCACTGTCCTGCACCCACTGTCTGGCACTCCCTAGTGAGATGAACCTGGTACCTCAGATGGAAATGCAGAAATCACCCGTCTTCTGCGTCGTTCATGCTGGGAGCTGTAGACCGGAGCTGTTCCTATTTGGCCATCTTGGCTGCGAGTCCCGAATTGAACAAATTTTATCATTAAAATAAAATAGCCTATGAACACATCACCCAGAACGACCAACATTAAAATTTTGCCATGGAAACATATCCATATCCACAGTGCTTAGAAAATTACACAAATCAATTTTATGCAAGACTGTTTAGAGAAATGTTAGTAAGTAAAGAGGAACTTAAATGATAATGACAGGGATTTTATTGCAAAATTTATGGTAAAACAATACAGTTGAATATTATTCACCCATTAGAACTTTTGGACACTTGTTTACTTTTTATTTTTACACTGGTCATTGTTTTACAAAGTATCTATGACTTTTGTTTAGCCTCTCATAATCAGGGCAATGACAAAGAGAAATACCAGGAGTAGCCAGCCCAGGCAGTGAAGAATGCAGGTAGAAACAGGAGGATGGAGGACTACAGGAGGGATATTTTATAAGGAAAATTATATGCATATACATATATATATTTATATATATATATATATACACACACATTATATAACTTTCTCTATATATACACTGTAACTATATATACATATGTATACACACACACTCTCTCTATAGAAATATATAAAGAGATATAGATATGTCCTGATTATTCCATTTACACCTGTGAAATTCTCTGAAGAAAGTGCCCAAGACATATACATGTATACATACACACACACAAACACACACACACATTTAAAGTGAAAGTGATTGCTTCCAGAGACTGGTGATCAGGGTTAGGACCAAGAAAAGTAATGATGTTTTTAGCATAGATATTTTAAAACAATTTCTTCTTAAAAATGTCATAGAAATGTGTTACCTTAACGAAAAAAAGGCAGTGCATGCATGCTATTATTCCAGGAGTAATATTGTATATCTTTATACAAATTGTATATTGTATATCTTTATACAAATTGTATATTGTATTTACACAAAAAGATTTTACATTATGTTTTAAAGTTAATCTATTAGATACTGCTTTTACTTACAAAATAAGTTTTTCAAGGGAAATATCATTATATATATTTCTAATTCTGGAGAAACTGCAGACTTTTTAAATCAGATTTACTTAATCATAGCTAGATCACTGGGTCATGGTCAATGATAAATTGCCACATGATGGTAAGCAAAACCAACCTCTTTCAGCAAATACAGTTTTCAACTTTAAGAGACTAAAAAACAGTTTTCTACAATACATTTTAAGAAATGTGAAAGCTTTCCCAGTTTCAAGGTTATAACTCATCAGTTCTTGGAACTTAAAATACACATCTAAGTCTTACAGGAGAACTCTTTGCCCTTCCCAGTAAACAGATTTAGAAAATTAAAGTTTTGATGACATGAAAAGAGAAAGACTGTTGGAATTTTACAGTAAGTTGTCTGCCAAGATTGCTTCTTTATCTCATTAAGCAAAGACCCAGGACTAACTCAAAGCTCTTCTGTCAACATTCTTTTTGCTGAAAGTTTCTCTCAAGGATTTCTTCTTGTTAGTGGAAACATGTGGCTTCGGGGTTAAAGGCTGAATCGAAGTTATTTGTGTTTTCTTATTTTATTCCCATATCCATTGAGCAATAGAAGCTCTAAAATGTATCACATTTTTTGATAATGTATTTATCTTTGAACAAGAAAAGTGATTTCCATATTTTTGGATTGTATACAGATAAACTACTTTTTTGTTTGGTTTTGTTCTAGAAGAGCTCCCTTACAACTTTGTAATATTTATATTTAGGTGAAATTTAATTCATAGACTTTATATCATTCCTACTGTAACAAAAGTCACTTAAATATTTTGATTGTTTTAAAAATTGTTTTGTTAGATAACATTCAAAAGCTACAAAATATTTCAGAGATCACAAGCCTGGGTAATAGACTGAGTACTAAAATTGTGGAAGGAGGCCCGTTCAAGAATTCATTCATTCATTCCACAACTACTTATTGAGGATCTGTAATTTGTCAGGCATCACGATAAGTGCTCAAAAGCTTACTACCTAGGAAACTCACAGTCTAATTCATGGAAAAGTTTAAAAAGTTCAAATTCAGACATAAACTCAGTTGGAATTATAAACAAATATCAGAGGAAATTTTTCTACACAAAGTACTGACAGCTAAAAACAGACTAAAGAAGAGTACTGTTAGAGGAGAAGAGTATCCTTTTCAAGAAAGTTAAAATTTTTGTTATATTGTCAATGAATCACACACACACACACACAAATGTACACAGCAGATTGGTTTTAATATACAATTTGAAACGTACTAATCAGAAATATAAGAATTCATGGTTAGTTATTTAATAATAAAATATTCTGAAAGATTGGTTAGCTAGCAACTAAAGAATTGTAATCCAAAGGCCATGTACCACAGTCAGCTACTATAAGCATTTGAGTATTATTATCTCCAATCAAGGCTAGAGGCTTGATAAATAACATAAGCATACTTTCAAATTGAATAGTGAAACGGCTGGTCTTCCAGTTTGGACAAGATAGAAGTGCCATACAATTGCTTCTGCACAAAAGAATGAAGTAGAGGGACCCAGAGATCTCAATAACTTACAGCCCTCTGGATTGTCACCTTAACCTTGAGAATTGAATTGTCAGTGTGTTCGGAAGCTTATTTGGAGATTTTGTATGTGCCCTGATTTTGACCAAAAGGTTAGCTGAATGTTGCTGCTACAATATTATGAATTATATCTCAAGTAAACATTCAAGGTGTTGTCAGAGCATCAAAAAGAACAGGATCTGGAATTTAATAGAGCTTAGAGAGTGGTATGACACTTGTTATGCCTGCTTTTAATGTTATTTGCTCTGAGACCAGTTTTCCTTGTGACATACTACATAGCAAGGACAGTTAGCATCCCCGCCTTCTTTAACTACTGGATCTTCCTCCCTCACTAATGATCAAATTAACAACATAATTAACATAATATAATTAACATAACAACATAATTAACAAATGATCAATTTAACGTAGGTAAATTCATAACAATAGATCATTTGACTATTTGGATGTTTCCACTACATTTTTGTCACCTTGCTCTTCTTAATAATGTCCAACATTGATTTCCACTACATTTTTGTCACCTTGCTCTTCTTAATAATAATGTCCAACATTGATTTTTAATGAAAGTAAATTCATTCTCATGTTTAACTTTGATAATATGTATTTATTGAAACTCATTTTGAAACTTACTTTCTGTGAAAGCCAGAAATAAAGGTGCGATTTATATATATGATGGGAAAATTACAAGTGATTAATCTTTGCATTTGCTTCAACAGTAGATGTACTCATTATTTTCAGAAAAAAAATGTAAGAGAAGTCAATATGGGTGCATATATTATTATATTCTCTGTGTAAAACAGAGAAATTTTAAAAGGGTCAGCACTATGTACTTCTACTAGAACTTACAACCATCCAAAGAGTGGTGTGTGAGGCTGATCCATAGCAATTCTTATGATTTTTAAAGGTCCAGGAAAATAAGAATATGGCATATTAATCAGAAAACATACATTTTTAATTTTTTTTGCATGACATTCTATTCCTGTATGGAATCACAATTCTTGGCATGCCAATATTTTCCTTCAGTGTTATGGGTTGAAACTTCTATGAATCAAAAGATTTATAAAATAATTTCCATTCATAAGCTTTGAAATAGCTTAAGCACAAATATAAAAAACAAAAACAAATGAACAAACAAAAAACTCTTCAGGTCTTTAAATGAGAACTACAATTAAGATTAGAATTTTTTTTCAAAAAATAGTGTCAGGTCAAATAGTTAGGTAAGATCATCTGACTTCCTACTCTCCTGAGAATAGAGTGATATATTTATCTCACTATTACTCTATTTATCACCTTATACTTTTTTCTTTAGTAATAGTGGCTGGCCCTCAAAGGTCTTTCAAGACAAGTGTGATGACATCACCAAGAAGTCTCCTCTGCTGACCTCCTAAGGAAAGTGAACTCTGGCTGCTGAATGTCTCACATTGACTAACTGTTATGAACATTATAAATCTACCATATATTGCTAAATACTTTGTGATTTGTGAATCAGAGAGGGAGGCTGTAGGGATTCCATGCCTACCTCAGTGAATGGAATAACATAACAGAGTCCAACAGCATTAAGACTCTTTAAGTCACCAGACAGTGAAACTGATCTGTGGTGCAGAATTAGACCTCTAGACACCAGGATCAACTTTCTTAAAGAAAGATAAAAATTTAAAAAAAATCTAATTTTATAGGTGACAACTTGGAAAGGTCAGAAATGGATCTAGAGACAAGAAACCTGACAAGGCCTGAGTGTCAGCCTGGCACTCTGTGGAACCCACTATTGGGACAGAACATGGCAGGGATGTCATTGTTCAGTTTAGTTACAAGAATTCATTCAGCTCAAGTTCTATAATTTATTCCAAGAACCGCGGCAGAAGAAAAAAAACATATACTTTAAGAGAGAGACAACAGTTGGGGGAAGCTATGAAAGCAGTTCTTAAATGTTTGAGTGCATCAGGATTGCTGGGAGGGCTCATTAAAATACAGATTCTGTGACCCACCTCCTGAGTTTCTGACTCAGTAAGTCTGGGATAGGTCCCAGGAATATTCAATTCTAACAAGTCCCAGGTGATACTGATGCTGTTTATCCAGGCACTACACTTTGAAAGCCAATATACTAAATAAATGAGCTTGGTGCATAAAGATCGAGAGAGATCTTGATCAAATTAGAGGACCTATTTGTGGTTGGGTCAGAAGTAATTATAATGACGAATGCGATAATAACAGGAGCAAAATCCACCAGGAGTAGCGGACAACAAATAAAAGCAGCCAAACAATAATACTGTTGGAAGCAGGTAAAACAGCCACTAAAGAGTGAGATCTCTTTCTCCCTTGAAGGGAATTCAATTTTTCTTTCCTCAAACTCAGTTTTCATTAGAAAGGAGGTGTGTGTATTTATCATTACAGTTACTCAATTTAAAAATATTGCTAAGCACATATTATATGCTAGCGACTGTGCCAAGCAATGAGAATACAGAGAACGAAACCCAATCTCTTCTGTCAGGAAGATCAATTTCTAAAGTAGTGAATGCTGTATAATAGCAGAGATGATGCCTTGTGCATCTTGATGTTTCTTACAAACTTCATCACAATGCCCCATACATAGTAAACACTCAGTGAACATGTGTTAAGTAAATGCTACCTTCATGCATACCAGCATGTTCTGCTTATCCCTGTATTTCCTAAACCTTGACAGTGTACCAGACACTATGCTAAACATCCTCTCTTTTAATTCTCAACAACCACCCTTTAAGGAAAGTACTTTTATTATTCCTAAAACACAGAGAGGAAACTGAGCTTTAAAAGATTAAGCAACTTGCCCCAGATCACCCAGCCAAAAGAGTCAAGGCTGGAATTTTCTGCATGACCTTGTCTGCATGACTTTTCTAGACCCTTCTACATCAGCTATGCTGTCTTAAAATGTGATTGAAAACATTTTTCCCTTATGTTGTCAAGCATGCATTCCTGTGGTCTTTACTCTAGTAATACACTTAAGAAGTAAAACCTTTTACATACTCGTCTTTTTTTCTCCCATTTCCCGTAGAGTAAAAAATATTAGATATATTTTAATGAGTTATCTCAATGTGCTGCTCTAAGTAATAGAAACTAACAGTTAACCTGTTCCAGGCAATGTGTTAAATGCTGCATCTCATTTTATTTTCAAAAAGAAACCCTATAGTTTTATTATTACTTCCAATTTACAAATGAGAAATTAGAATCAGAGGAATTAAGTAACATTTTTACAATCGCAGAGCTAATATGTGGCATATGAAAGTTGAATCCTGTTTTTCTAACTTTAGAATTCTCACTATACACTGCAATTCCATACTGCCTCTCTTCAATTCTCACCTATTCATAGGTCTTTAGGATATTTATCATTGTTTTCTTTACCTTTTTATTTTAAAATATTGATTGATTAACCTCCCAAAACAACCATATATATTGATACAGGAGTGCAGGTGTTCACTCAAATGACTTGCCTCACCACTACGTTCAGGACATGGGGGGACTTTTTTGTATTGTATATAAAAGTCAATTAACTGGAAAGGCTTAGAATTACTATGCAAATTTGACACAATCTATACAATGTCAATAAAAGCAAAATCAATTTTGTCCTAAGAGAAAACTGAAAAGGCTGAAAGTGGCGTTTTTTTTTTTTCCTTTATTAAGTTTTCTTTGCCCATAGCATATAACATGTGAAGGAATTACAGGGCAGAAATGTACATTTAATATATCTCAATATTATCTTTAAGTTTAAACAGACAATTGTTTTATATATATATGTGTATGATTTTAAAATGATTGTGCATGTCATATAAACAGACTACTGGCATTATTACTGGGTGGGTCTGATGTGATATCTATCATTCTGAAAGGGTACAATGAGATGAAATTTTCTATTATGGGTGGCAGTGGCATCCATGGAAGGAAGGATTTATATTCAACGGATGTTTTTCTTTACTCCATTTATCTAGCTTCTGTCATCTCTTTCTTCCTCTAGATTCAAGGCTGTCTAGGACCTAGAATGACCTTCTACATTAGCAGAAAATTCACAGAAGCTTATTTCAGGCACAGTACTATGTCTTCGTGTTCAGTTTCCATCTGCTACCTGATCTCATTATTTCCCACCCTTGCTTTCCTTAGGAGACTCAGGCCACCTGAAATGGTTTGGCTGTGTCCCCACCCCAAATCTCATCTTGAATTGCAATAATCCCCACATGTCAAAGGTGGGGCCAGGTGGAGATAATTGAATCGTGAGGTGATTTCCCCAATACTGTTCTCGTAGTAGTGATTATTTAATAAATGGGAATTCCCCCGCACAAGCTCTCATGTCATGTAAAACGTGACTCTGCTCCTCCTTTGCCTTCCACCATGATTATGAGGCCTCCCCAGCTATGCAGAACTGTGAGTCGATTAAACCCCTATTTTAAAATAAATTACCCAGTCTTGGGTACATCTTTGTTAGCCGCATGAGAACTAATACACGACTCTTGCCTTCCTGTTTCTCAAACAAACGAAGGATGTTCTGGCTTAGGTTTCACTTGCAGATCCATCTGCCTGGGATTCATCATTCGCATCTCAAGTCATATATCCTGTTCTCAGGACATTGTTTTTCCTTTTCATTAGTTTTTATTCCTAATTAATTTATAGTAAAAATGTACCCTTTTTATGTTGCAATTCTGCAAGTTTTGAGAAACACATAATATAATTACCACCACAATCAAGACATAGAACAGTCTAATCTCCCATAACACCTCACTGTGCCTCTTGGTAGTCCACCTCTTCTGCTGCTGCATGCCCCAGGAAACCAATGATCTGTTTTGTGTTCTTATAATTTTTCCTTTTCTAGAAGATATATTCATGGAATCATACAACATGTAGCTCTTTGAGCTTCAGTGGAATGTCCATTTTTTACTAATTACATAACATTGCCCTAAAATATGCCCTACCATTTATTATCTTAATTTATTTTCTTTACAGCACTATTCTCTGAAAGCATTGTTTTACTGGTTCCTGTATCTATTATCTGTTTTCTTTGCTCTGAGCTGCAGCAGCTGGCATTTATGTCACTTTTATGCAAAATTAGAAAAAAGGAAACTATTTTCAGGCTTACTCACAACTCGTGCACTTAAACAAAATTTAGTCTGCAAAGGCATTTCCAAAGTGAAAGATTAACTAAAATCCACAACCCTCATAGTGGACAGTTCAACATTCAATGAAAAAATTTAAGTATAGAACTATACTTTTTATTTTTATTACAATTTTTAAAACATGAAACGGCTACAGTGTGAAATTATTAAAGACATAGTAAATATGATTTACCATCTGATTTCCTTCCAAACATCTTCTAGAAATCACTTTTTCTTTTTAATTATATATTGACAAATTATTGTTGTGTATATTTATGGGACAAAAAGTGATGTTATTATTTTTCAATACAATATGGCATGATTAGATCAAGGTAATTAACCTATTTATCACCTTCAGTATTTGACTTTTTTTTTTTAATGGAGTTTCATTTTTGGCTTCCAGGCTGGAGTGCAATGGCGTGGAATCTCAGCTCACTGCAACCTCCGCATCCCAGTTTCAAGTGATTCTCCTGCCTCAACCTCCTGAATAGCTGAGATTACAGGCACCTGCCACCATGATCGACTAATTTTTGTATTTTTAGTAGAGATGGAGTTTCACCACCTTGCCCAGGCTGGTCTTGAACGCCTGACCTCAGGTGATCTGCTCTCCTCGGCCTCCCAAAGTGCTGGGCTTACAGGCATAAGCCACCACGCCTGGCCAGTATTTCACATTTTTATGGTAACATTTGAGATGTACTCTCTTAGTAATATTTCCCCTTGTCAGGCTTTTCTATCTGCTTATAAAATCATGATTTTATTAAATCTTATTATTATGTATTAAATGTTTGTCATCTCCTCAGAATCCATATGTTGAGAATGGAGGAAAATTGGCAGATAGGAGGAAGGACCAACTTGCAGCTCCCACTTAGATGGACAGAGCAGCATGTGGAGACCCACATTGTAAACTTGTGCTCCAAGAACTACTGCAGGAACATACCAGGAAAGCCAAAAGAATCCACAGACCCTTTGAAAGAGGTAGACTGCTGCTACAGGCTCCATGGGACAGTCAAGGAACTCTGAAGACAAAGGATGTAATCTCTTGGGAGCTGTATGCCCCGCCCACTGCCTGATCCTCCTTATACTGCCTTAGCTGATGTGCTCTTGAACGTGCCACCTCCTGGCTGGAGGCGAGCAAAAGCAAAACCAGAGCATGTAACAAAAATACAACCAAGGACCCTAACAGAGTCCACTTCACTCCCCTGCTACCTCCACTGGAGCAGCTGCTGGTATCCATGGCTGAAAGACCCGAAGATGGATCACATCACAGGACTGTTTGCAGATACTCTCCAGTACCAGCCTGGAGCCCAGTAGCTCTACTGGTTGGCTAGATCCAGAAGACAAATAACAACCACTGCAGTTTGGCTCTCAGGAAGCCCCATCCCTAAGGGGAAGAGGAGAGCACCACATCAAGGGAGGACCCCCATGGGACAAAATAATCTGAACAGCAGCCCTTGAGTCCCAGATCTTCCCTCTGACATAGTCTACCCAAATGAGAATGAACCAGAAAACAATTCTGGTAATATGGCAAAAACAAGTTTCTTTAACACCCTCAAACGATCACATTACTCACCAGCAATGAATCCAAACCAAGACAAAATCTCTGAATTGCCAGAAAAACCATTCAGAAGGTCAACTATTAAGCTAAACAAGAAGACACCAAAGAAAGGTGAAATCCAACATAAAGAAGTCAAAAAAATGATACAGGATATTAATGGAAAACTCTCCAGTGAAGTATGTAGCAAAAAATAAAATATAATCACAGCTTCTGGAAATGAAGGACACACTTAGAGAGCTGCAAAATGCACTGGCAAGTCTCAGCAATGGAATCAAACAAGTAGAAGAAAGAACCTCAGAGGTCAAAGACAAGGCTTTTGAATTAACCCAATCTGACAAAGAAATAGAAAAATGAATTTTTAAAAAAGGAGCAAACCTCCAATAAGTTTGCAATTATGGTAAATGACCAAACCTAAGAATAATTGGTGTTTCTGAGGAAGAAGAGAAATCTAAAAGTTTGGAAAACATATTTGAGGGAATAACTGAGGAAAACTTCCCTGACCTTGCTGGGGATCTAGACATCCAAATACAAGAAGCTCAAAAAACACCTGCGAAATTCATTGCAAAAGGATCACTGCCTAGGCACATTGTCATCAGGTTATCTAAATTCAAGATAAAGGAAATAATCTTATAAGTTGTGAGGCAAAAGCATGAGGTAACCTATAAAGGAAAACCTATCAGATTAACAGCAGATCTCTCAGCAGAAACTCTACAAGCTAGAAGGGACTGGAGTCCTATCTTTAGCCTCGTTAAACCAAACATTGTCAGGCAAGAATTGTGTATCTAGTGAAACTAAGCTTCATAAATGAAAGAAAGATAATCTTTTTCAGACAAACAAATTTTGAAAGAATTCACTACTACCAAGCCAGCACTATAAGAACTGCTAAAAGGAGCTCTAAATCTTGAAAAAAATCCTCGAAACACACCAAAATAGAATCTCCTTAGAGCATAAATCTCACAGGACCTATAAAACAACAACATAATGAAAATAAACCAAGGTATTCAGGAAACAAATAACATGATGAATAAAACAATACCTCACCTCTCAATACTAATATTGAATGTAAATGGCCTAAATGCTCCACTTTAAAGATACAGAATGGCATAATGAATAATTCACCAACCAAGTAGCTGCTGTCTTCAAGAGACTCACCTGACACATGTGGACTTGCATAAACTTAAGGTAAAGGGGTGGAAAAAGGTATTTCATGCAAATGAACACCAAAAGAGCACTGGGTTATCTATTATTCTATCAGAGAAAACAAACTTTAAAGCAACAGCAGTTAAAAAAGACGTATTAGTTCATTTTTACACTGCTGATAGAGACATACCCAAGACTGGGTAACGTGGAAAGAAAAGAGATTTAATTGACTAACAGTTACACATGGCTGGAGAGGCCTCACAATCATGGTGGAAAGCAAGGAGGTGCAAAGTCATGTCTTACATGGATGGCAGCAGGCAAAGAGAGAAATTGTACAGGAAAACTCCCTTTTATAAAACCGTCAGATCTTGTGAGACTTAATCAACATCATGGGTATAGCACAGGAAAGACCCACCCCATGATTCAATTACCTCCAACTGGGTCCCTCCCACAACATGTGGGAATTGTGCGAGCTACAATTCAAGATGAGATGTGGGTGGGGGCACAGCCAAACCATATCAAAAGACAAAGAAGGACATTATATCATGATAAAAGCACTAGTGCAACAGGAAAATATCATAATCCTAAGTATACATGCACCTAACACTGGAGCTCCCATATTTATACAACAATTACTTACTGGACCTAAGAAATGAGATTGACAGCAACACAATAATACTGGGGGACCTCAATACTCCACTGACAGCACTGGACAGGTTATCAAGACAGAAAGTCAACAAACAACGGACTTAAACTATACCCTGGAACAAATGGACTTAACAGATATTTACAGAACATTCTAACCAACAACTGCAGAATATACATTCTATTTATCAGCTCATGGAACATTCTCCAAGATAGATCATATGATAAGACACAAATCAAATTTAAGAAAATCAAAATTATATCAAGTACTCTCTCAGACCACAGTGGAATAAAATTTGAAATCAACTCCAAAAGAAACTCTCAAAACCATGCAAGTACCTGGAAATTAAATAACCTGATCCTCAATGATCATTGGGTCAACAATGAAATCCAGAAGGAAATTAAAAATTTCTTTGAACTGAATGATAATAGTGACACAACGTATCAAAACCTCTGAGATACAGCAAAGGCAGTGACAAGAGGGAAATTCATAGCATTATATGCCTACATCAGAAAGTCTGAAAGACACAAATAGACTGTCTAAGGTCACACCTCAAGGAGGCTAGAGAAACAAGAACAAACCAAACCCAAACTCAGCAGAAGAAAAGAAATAATCCAGATCAGAGCAGAACTAAATGAAATCAAAACAAACAAAAAATACAAAAGATAAATGATACAAAAAGCTGGTTCTTTGAAAAGATAAATAAAATTTCTAGACTATTAGTGAGATTAACCAAAAAAAGAAGAGAAAAGATCCAAATAAGCTCAGTTAGAAATAAAACAACTGCTACCACAGAAATACAAAAGATCATTCAAGGCTACCCTGAAAATCTTTACATGCATAAACTAGAAAACCTAGAGGAGATGGATAAATTCCTGGAAATATACAACCCTCCTAGATTAAACTAGTAAGAAATAGAAACTCTGAACAGACCAATAACAAGTAGCAAGATTGAAATGGTAATTAAAAAGTTATCATCAACAACAACAAAAGTCCAGGACCAGATAGATTAACAGTTGAATTCAATCAGACATTTAAAGAATAATTGGTACCAATCTTATTGACAATATTTTTAGAGAAAGAGAAAGAGAAAGAGGGAATCCTCTCTAAATCATTCTTTGAATCCAGTATCACTCTAATACCAAAACCAAGAAAGGACATAACAAAATGGAAAACTATAGACCAATATCTTTAATGAACACAGATGCAAAAAATTCTCGATAAAATACTAGCTAACCAAGTCCAACAGCATATCAAAAAGATAATCCATCATGATCAAGTGGGTCTCATAACAAGGATGCAGGGATGGTTTAACATCAACAAGTCAATAAATGTGATATACCACATAAACAGAATTTAAAATGAAAATCACATGATCATCTCAATAGATGCAGAAAAAACATTTGACAAAATCCAGCATCCTTTTATGATTAAAATCCTCAGCAAAATCGGCATAGAAGGACATACCTTAAGGTAATAAAAGCCATATATAACAAACCCACAGTCAACATTATACTGAATGGATAAAAGCTGAAAATACTTGCCCTGAGAACTGGAACAAGGCAAGGATGCCCACTTTCACCACTTCTATTCAACATAGTACTGGAAGTCCTAGCCAGAGCAAGCAGACGAGAGAAAGAAATAAAGTGTATCTAAATCAGTAGAGAGGAAGTCAAACTGTTTTTGCTGATGATATAATTCTATACCTAGAAAACCCTAAAGACTCATACATAAAGCTCCTAGAACTGGTAGATGAATTCAGCAAAGTTTCAGGATACAAAATTAATGTACAAAAATCAGTAGCTCTATACATACACAGTGATGAAACTGAGAATCAAATCAAGAACTCAACTCCTTTTACGATAGCTGCAAAAACAAACAAACAAACGAACAAAAAAACTTAGAATATACTTAATCAAGGAGGTGAAAGACTTCTACAAGGAAAATTACAAAACACTGCTGAAAGAAATCATAGATGACACAAACAAATGGAAACACATTTCATGCTCATGCATGGGTAGAATCAATATTGTGAAAATGACCATACTGCCAAAAGCAAGTTACAAATTCAATGCAATTTCCATCAAAATACCACCATTATTCCTCAGAAAACTAGAAGAAAAAGTTCTAAAATTTATATGGCATCAGAAAAGAATCTGCACAGCCAAAGCAAGACTAAGTGAAAATAACAAATCTAGAGGCATTACATTACCCTACTTCAACCTATACTATAAGGCCATAGTCACCAAAACAGCATGGTACTGGTATAAAAACAGTCATGTAGACCACAGAATAGAGAACCCATAAATAGAGCCAAATACTTATAGTCAACTGATCTTTGAAAAAGGAAACAAAAATATAAAGTGGGGAAAGTATACCCTATTTAACAAATGGTGCTGGGATAACTGACAAGCCACATGTGGAAGAAGAAAACTGGATCCTCATCTCTCACCTTATACAAAAATTAACTCAAGATGGATCAAAAACCTAAATATAAGTCTTGAAACTATAAAAATTCTAGAAGATAACATTGGGAAAACCCTTCTAGACCTTGGTGTAGGCAAAGACTTCATGACCAAGAACCCAAAAGAAAATGCAAAAAAAACAAAAAAACAAAAAAACAAAGATAAATTGATGGAACCTAATTAAACTAAAGAGCTTCTTTCTGCACAGCAAAAGAAATAATCAGCAGAGTGAAGAGACAACCCACAGAGTGGGAGAAAATCTTTATAATCTATAAATCAGACAAAGAACTAATATCCAGAATCTACAAGGAACTGAAACAAATCAACTAGACAAAAAAACAATCCCACCAAAAAGTGAGCTAAGGACATGAATATACAATTCTCAAAGGAAGATATACAAATGGCTAACAAACACATGAAAAAATACTCAACATCACTAATGACCAGGGAAATGTAAATCAAAACCACAATGTGATACCCTCTTAGTCCTGCAAGAATGGCCATAATAAAAAAATTAAAAAAAAATAATAGATGTTGGCGTGGATGTGTTGAAAAGGGAACACTTTTACACAGCTGGTGGGAAGGAAAACTAGGACAACTACTGTGAAAAACAGTGTGGAGATTCCTTAAAGAACTAAAAGTGGATCCACAATTTGATCCAGTAATCGTGCCCTGGGTACCTACCCAGAGGGAAAAAAAATCACTATACAAAAAAGATACTTGCACATATGTTTATAGCATCACCATTCACAATTAAAAATGGAACCAGCCCAAATGCCCACCAGTCAAAGAGTGGATAAAGAAAATGTGGTGTGTATTCATATATATATGAATACGACTGAGCCATAAAGCATAAATAATGTTTTAAAAAAACATTACTTTTAAAAAGCCATAAATAATGAAATATTGGCATTCATAGCAACCTGGATGAAACTGGAGACCATTATTCTAAGTGAAGTAACTCAGGAATGGAAAATCAAATATCGTATGTTCTCACTCATAAGTGGGAGCTAAGCTGTGAGGATGCAAAGGCATAAGAATGTTACAAGGGACTTTGGGGACTCAGGGGAAAGGGTAGGAGGGTGGTGAGGAATAAAAAACTACACATTGGGTACGGTGTACACTGCTCAGGTGATGGGTGCTCCAAAATCTCAGAAATCACCACTAAAGAACTTGTTCATGTCACCAAACACCACCTGTTCCCCAAAAACCTATTGAAAAAAAAAAGAATCCATATGTTGATACCCCACTTATCTATGTGACGCCATTAGGAGAGGGGCTTTGGGAGGTAATAGGGTTTAGATGAAGTCATGGGGGTAGAGCCTTCACACATGGGATTAAGACCTTAGAATCCCAAGAAAGCTTGCTTCTTTGAGCTCTGTGCCATGTGAGGATATAACAAGAAGTTGGCAGTCTCCTTGCCGAAAGAGGGCCACCACCAAAAACTCAACCATGCTGGCACCCTGGTTTTAGACTTCTCAGCCTGAAGAACTGTGAGAAATAAATTACTCTCATTTATAAACCACTCAGTCTAATATCATTTGTTATAGCAGCCTGAAATAACAAACTCACTTTCTCTTCTCTGTGTAAAAATTTTCATCAAACTTTTTCACCTTCTAGGACCTACAGGAAAATCACAAACCCCTTAGCTTGGCATTCCAGTGCCTTCTCTGAATGAAGAAGGCACCAATGTTGCAGCCTCATCCTCTTTCCATATTCGCAGCTCTCTTACAGATACCATGCACGTCAGCTAACCTGGCCAACTACTAGTACCTAGGGAATCCTACATATTCCCTATGCGCTTCTGAAAAGACCCGCTGCTCATTTTTGCCTTCTAAAGCATAATTAACTTTCGAGGTTCAGGCCCTCTTTCTCTATGAAACTTTGCTGATTTATCTAACCCAGAATCTATAGACATTACTTAAACTTGTCTTATGAAAAGTGATAAACTCCATTAACCAATAAAGGAGTCATTAATTTTCCTGAAGACATCATCTACATATAACATGAAATTATGAAATCAACAAAGGAAGGGAGCAAATGAAATGTTTACTTGTCGTATAACATATGAGTATATCAAATGTTACTGCAGTGGGTCAAAATAAAGAATGTTAAAATGATTAAGAGAATAAAGAGGCAACAATATTCTAAAAGAAAAGTCATTAGCACAGTAATTGGCTTAGGGCAGATACTCAACAATGTTATTTTCATTCCCGCAGTCAAATAAATAGTACTAAAGCCTTTGTTTTTCACAGTCTAGAAAAATAATGTTTGACATCTAAGAAAATTATGCCACAAATGGGAAAGTGAATATACATTTTATCACTAAATTATGAGATTAGAATAAGGACTCTTTCTTGAGGTTTAAAGGGGATATTACAAATAAAACATGGTCTTAGCACTACAGGTATTTGAATATAAATTGATGATTTCAATATAAATTGATGTATAGTACCAAAAGATTAATTTAAAACATTGTTACCCTGAGGCCCTGCTAAACTTACATTATTTGAGAGCTAACATAGCATTTCCCACAAAATTGTATTTATCTTTTTTCTTATTATGGATAAAAAATGTAATTTTCCAATTATTAGATATATGTAAACACTGATAGATGACTTTATTAGTATGCATGTTTGAGAAAAATAAGGGAAATTGCTCAACTTAATAGGTGTGAAGGCAACAGAATTACATTGTCAAAAGCACTGTGGTTACATGTATTTTTAATGCTTTAGAAGCACCTGTCAGCAAGAACATCTGCATCCTAATAGTCTATTTTAAGAAAATTTAAATCATCCTTATGCTGACGAATACAGCCATATTCCAAATATGTGCATCTCATAAAAGCTAATACATATTCAATGACTCATTAAAATCAAACATTTTAAAACATCGTGATTCAGGACCCAATACATACTTTTAAAATAACATTTCGTAATGAAAGGATTGTATACTGTACCACATGCAAATATTTATTTCATTTAATAATGATCACTATAAAAATGCCTCTTAATCAAAGGAAAGAAATCATTATACCATGTGTTTTGGCATAAATATTTATACCTCTCTATGAAATTCTATGTGTGTTTGAGATACTTGAAAATTACCATGTATTATATATAATGGTTATAATGTTCTTGAAGATTGTAAACCAAATTTTATTATTTATTTTTTTTATTATTATACTTTAAGTTTTAGGGTACATGTGCACATTGTGCAGGTTAGTTACATATGTATACATGTGCCATGCTGGTGCGCTGCACCCACTAACTTGTCATCTAGCCTTAGGTATACCTCCAAATGCTATCCCTCCCCCCTCCCCCCACCCCACCACAGTCCCCAGAGTGTGGTACTCCCCTTCATGTGTCCATGTGATCTCATTGTTCAATTCCCACCTATGAGTGAGAATATACGGTGTTTGGTTTTTTGTTCTTGCAATAGTTTACTGAGAATGATGATTTCCAATTTCATCCATGTCCCTACAAAGGATATGAACTCATCAACTTTTATGGCTGCATAGTATTCCATGGTGTATATGTGCCACATTTTCTTAATCCAGTCTATCATTGTTGGACATTTGGGTTGGTTCCAAGTCTTTGCTGTTGTGAATAATGCCGCGATAAACATACGTGTGCATGTGTCTTTATAGCAGCATGATTTATAGTCCTTTGGGTATATACCCAGTAATAGGATGGCTGGGTCAAATGGTATTTCTAGTTCTAGATCCCTGAGGAATCACCACACTGACTTCCACAAGGGTTGAACTAGTTTACAGTCCCACCAACAGTGTAAAAGTGTTCCTATTTCTCCACATCATGTCCAGCACCTGTTGTATCCTGACTTTTTAATGATTGCCATTCTAACTGGTGTGAGATGATATCTCATAGTGGTTTTGATTTGCATTTCTCTGATGGCCAGTGATGATGAGCATTTTTTCATGTGTTTTTTGGCTGCATAAATGTCTTCTCTTGAGAAGTGTCTGTTCATGTCCTTCGCCCACTTTTTGATGGGGTTGTTTGTTTTTTTCTTGTAAATTTGTTTGAGTTCATTGCAGATTCTGGATATTAGCTCTTTGTCAGATGAGTAGGTTGCGAAAATTTTCTCCCATTTTGTAGGTTGCCTGTTCACTCTGATGGTAGTTTCTTTTGCTGTGCAGAAGCTCTTTAGTTTAATTAGATCCCATTTGTCAATTTTGGCTTTTGTTGCCATTGCTTTTGGTGTTTTAGACATGAAGTCCTTGCCCATGCCTATGTCCTGAATGGTAATGCCTAGGTTTTCTTCTAGGGTTTTTATGGTTTTAGGTCTAACGTTTAAATCTTTGATCCATCTTGAATTGATTTTTGTATAAGGTGTAAGGAAGGGATCCAGTTTCAGCTTTCTACATATGGCTAGCCAGTTTTCCCAGCACCATTTATTAAATAGGGAATCCTTTCCCCAATGCTTGTTTTTCTCAGGTTTGTCAAAGATCAGATAGTTGTAGGTATGTGGCGTTATTTCTGAGGGCTCTGTTCTGTTCCATTGATCTATATCTCTGTTTTGGTACCAGTACCATGCTGTTTTGGTTACTGTAGCCTTGTAGTATACTTTGAAGTCAGGTAGTGTGATGCCTCCAGCTTTGTTCTTTTGGCTTAGGATTGACTTGGCGATGCGGGCTCTTTTTTGGTACCATATGAACTTTAAAGTAGCTTTTTCCAATTCTGTGAAGAAAGTCATTGGTAGCTTGATGGGGATGGCATTGAATCTGTAAATTACCTTGGGCAGTATGGCCATTTTCATGATATTGATTCTTCCTACCCATGAGCATGGAATGTTCTTCCATTTCTTTGTATCCTCTTTTATTTCCTTGAGCAGTGGTTTGTAGTTCTCCTTGAAGAGGTCCTTCACATCCCTTGTGAGTTGGATTCCTAGGTATTTTATTCTCTTTGAAGCAATTGTGAATGGGAGTTCACTCATGATTTGGCTCTCTGTTTGTCTGTTGTTGGTGTATAAGAATGCTTGTGATTTTTGTACATTGATTTTGTATCCTGAGACTTTGCTGAAGTTGCTTATCAGCTTAAGGAGATTTTGGGCTGAGACGATGGGGTTTTCTAGATAAACAATCATGTCGTCTGCAAACAGGGACAATTTGACTTCCTCTTTTCCTAATTGAATACCCTTTATTTCCTTCTCCTGCCTGATTGCCCTGGCCAGAACTTCCAACACTATGTTGAATAGGAGCGGTGAGAGAGGGCATCCCTGTCTTGTGCCAGTTTTCAAAGGGAATGCTTCCAGTTTTTGCCCATTCAGTATGATATTGGCTGTGGGTTTGTCATAGATAGCTCTTATTATTTTGAAATACGTCCCATCAATACCTAATTTATTGAGAGTTTTTAGCATGAAGGGTTGTTGAATTTTGTCAAAGGCTTTTTCTGCATCTATTGAGATAATCATGTGGTTTTTGTCTTTGGCTCTGTTTATATGCTGGATTACATTTATTGATTTGCATATATTGAACCAGCCTTGCATCCCAGGGATGAAGCCCACTTGATCATGGTGGATAAGCTTTTTGATGTGCTGCTGGATTCGTTTTGCCAGTATTTTATTGAGGATTTTTGCATCAATGTTCATCAAGGATATTGGTCTAAAATTCTGTTTTTTGGTTGTGTCTCTGCCCGGCTTTGGTATCAGAATGATGCTGGCCTCATAAAATGAGTTAGGGAGGATTCCCTCTTTTTCTATTGATTGGAATAGTTTCAGAAGGAATGGTACCAGTTCCTCCTTGTACCTCTGGTAGAATTCGGCTGTGAATCCATCTGGTCCTAGACTCTTTTTGGTTGGTAAACTATTGATTATTGCCACAATTTCAGCTCCTGTTATTGATCTATTCAGAGATTCAACTTCTTCCTGGTTTAGTCTTGGGAGAGTGTATGTGTCGAGGAATGTGTCCATTTCTTCTAGATTTTCTAGTTTATTTGCGTAGAGGTGTTTGTAGTATTCTCTGATGGTAGTTTGTATTTCTGTGGGATCAGTGGTGATATCCCCTTTATCATTTTTTATTGTGTCTATTTGATTCTTCTCTCTTTTTTTCTTTATTAGTCTTGCTAGTGGTCTATCAATTTTGTTGATCCTTTCAAAAAACCAGTTCCTGGATTCATTGATTTTTTTGAAGGGTTTTTTGTGTCTCTATTTCCTTCAGTTCTGCTCTGATTTTAGTTATTTCTTGCCTTCTGCTAGCTTTTGAATGTGTTTGCTCTTGCTTTTCTAGTTCTTTTAACTGTGATGTTAGGGTGTCAATTTTGGATCTTTCCTGCTTTCTCTTGTGGGCATTTAGTGCTATAAATTTCCCTCTACACACTGCTTTGAATGCGTCCCAGAGATTCTGGTATGTTGTGTCTTTGTTCTCATTGGTTTCAAAGAACATCTTTATTTCTGCCTTCATTTCGTTATGTACCCAGTAGTCATTCAGGAGCAGGTTGTTCAGTTTCCATGTAGTTGAGTGGTTTTGAGTGAGATTCTTAATCCTGAGTTCTAGTTTGATTGCACTGTGGTCTGAGAGATAGTTTGTTATAATTTCTGTTCTTTTACATTTGCTGAGGAGAGCTTTACTTCCAAGTATGTGGTCAATTTTGGAATAGGTGTGGTGTGGTGCTGAAAAGAATGTATATTCTGTTGATTTGGGGTGGAGAGTTCTGTAGATGTCTATTAGGTCCGCTTGGTGCAGAGCTGAGTTCAATTCCTGGGTATCCTTGTTGACTTTCTGTCTCGTTGATCTGTCTAATGTTGACAGTGCGGTGTTAAAGTCTCCCATTATTAATGTTTGGGAGTCTAAGTCTCTTTGTAGGTCACTCAGGACTTGCTTTATGAATCTGGGTGCTCCTGTATTGGGTGCATATATATTTAGGATAGTTAGCTCTTCTTGTTGAATTAATCCCTTTACCATTATGTAATGGCCTTCTTTGTCTCTTTTGATCTTTGTTGGTTTAAAGTCTGTTTTATCAGAGACTAGGATTGCAACCCCTGCCTTTTTTAGTTTTCTATTTGCTTGGTAGATCTTCCTCCATCCTTTTATTTTGAGCCTATGTGTGTCTCTGCATGTGAGATGGGTTTCCTGAAGACAGCACACTGATGGGTCTTGACTCTTTATCCAACTTGCCAGTCTGTGTCTTTTAATTAGAGCATTTAGTCCATTTACATTTAAAGTTAATATTGTTATGTGTGAATTTGATCCTGTCATTATGATGTTAGCTGGTGATTTTGCTCATTAGTTGATGCAGTTTCTTCCTAGTCTCGATGGTCTTTACATTTTGGCATGATTTTGCAGCAGCTGGTACCGGTTGTTCCTTTCCATGTTTAGCGCTTCCTTCAGGAGCTCTTTTAGGGCAGGCTTGGTGGTGACAAAATCTCTCAGCATTTGCTTGTCTGTAAAGTATTTTATTTCTCCTTCACTTATGAAGCTTAGTTTGGCTGGATATGAAATTCTGGGTTGAAAATTCTTTTCTTTAAGAATGTTGAATATTGGCCCCCACTCTCTTCTGGCTTGTAGGGTTTCTGCCGAGAGATCCGCTGTTAGTCTGATGGGCTTCCCTTTGAGGGTAACCTGACCTTTCTCTCTGGCTGCCCTTAACATTTTTTCCTTCATTTCAACTTCGGTGAATCTGACAATTATGTGTCTTGGAGTTGCTCTTCTCGAGGAGTATCTTTGTGGCGTTCTCTGTATTTCCTGAATCTGAACGTTGGCCTGCCTTGCTAGATTGGGGAAGTTCTCCTGGATAATATCCTGCAGAGTGTTTTCCAACTTGGTTCCATTCTCCACATCATTTTCAGGTACACCAATCAGACGTAGATTTGGTCTTTTCACAGTCCCATATTTCTTGGAGGCTTTGCTCATTTCTTTTTATTCTTTTTTCTCTAAACTTCCCTTCTCGCTTCATTTCATTCATTTCATCTTCCATCGCTGATACCCTTTCTTCCGGTTGATCGCATCGGCTCCTGAGGCTTCTGCATTCTTCACGTAGTTCTCGAGCCTTGGTTTTCAGCTCCATCAGCTCCTTTAAGCACTTCTCTGTATTGGTTATTCTAGTTATACATTCTTCTAAATTTTTTTCAAAGTTTTCAACTTCTTTGCCTTTGGTTTGAATGTCCTCCCGTAGCTCAGAGTAATTTGATCGTCTGAAGCCTTCTTCTCTCAGCTCGTCAAAGTCATTCTCCATCCAGCTTTGTTCCGTTGCTGGTGAGGAGCTGCGTTCCTTTGGAGGAGGAGAGGTGTTCTGCGTTTTAGAGTTTCCAGTTTTTCTGTTCTGTTTTCTCCCCATCTTTGTGGTTTTATCTACTTTTGGTCTTTGATGATGGTGATGTACAGATGGGTTTTCGGTGTGGATGTCCTTTCTATTTGTTAGTTTTCCTTCTAACAGACAGGACCCTCAGCTGCAGGTCTGTTGGAATACCCTGCTGTGTGAGGTGTCAGTGTGCCCCTGCTGGGGGGTGCCTCCCAGTTAGGCTGCTCGGGGGTCAGGGGTCAGGGACCCACTTGAGGAGGCAGTCTGCCCGTTTTCAGATCTCCAGCTGCGTGCTGGGAGAACCACTGCTCTCTTCAAAGCTGTCAGACAGGGACATTTAAGTCTGCAGAGGTTACTGCTGTCTTTTTGTTTGTCTGTGCCCTGCCCCCAGAGGTGGAGCCTACAGAGGCAGCCAGGCCTCCTTGAGCTGTGGTGGGCTCCACCCAGTTCCAGCTTCCTGGCTGCTTTGTTTACCTAAGCAAGCCTGGGCAATGGCGGGCGCCCCTCCCCCAGCCTCGCTGCCGCCTTGCAGTTTGATCTCAGACTGCTGTGCTAGCAATCAGCGAGACTCCGTGGGCGTAGGACCCTCCGAGCCAGGTGTGGGATATAGTCCCGTGGTGCGCCGTTTTTTAAGCCGGTCTGAAAGCTCAATATTCGGGTGGGAGTGACCCGATTTTCCAGGTGCGTCCGTCACCCCTTTCTTTGACTCGGAAAGGGAACTCCCTGACCCCTTGCGCTTCCCAGGTGAGGCAATGCCTCGCCCTGCTTCGGCTCGCGCACGGTGTGGTGCGTGCACCCACTGGCCTGCGCCCACTGTCTGGCACTCCCTAGTGAGATGAACCCGGTACCTCAGATGATTTCCAGAAATCACCCATCTTCTGCATCGCTCACGCTGGGAGCTGTAGACCCGGAGCTGTTCCTATTCGGCCATCTTGGCTCCTCCTTCGTAAACCAAATTTTATTGTATTAAGTTAAAAATTGTTATAGGTTTCATTCTGCTAATACAGTAACACCCACTGGCTTATCACTCATTGCCCACTGAGGTCCCATGCTTTAGAAGGAGGGCAAATGACAGCTACAAAGAAAAGTTGTTTGACTGTCACATTAGACTTCTTTGAGTCTCTGAATGAAAAAGACTTGGGGAAAGCTAGTCTCTGTGGAAGATCAAAATATTTTCTAAATTCTATACACTTTCTTTATAAATCAAGAGCCAGACTCAGGCAACTCTGATCAAAGAATTTTACTCCAAACTTCTGCTGGAACCAACTCGTAAGAGGATGAAAGGGGAAGTCCTTCCAAATAGGAAGAGAATGTAGAAAGAATTCTGTATCAAGGAAATTAAAGGTGAGGTGATGAGAATGTGGATAAAACCGGAGCCCCTAAGAGGACAGATTCCCAGTTCTCTGAGTCTCAGGCAGAAAGGTGTGGTAGGTGAAGGCCAAATTATAAAACTCCTGATGAAATCCTCACATCCCTCAAAGGCTAAGGAGGCATCCAAGATCTTCTAGGCCAGAGGCAATTTCCCCCTCCCGACTCCAGGGAACTTTTGATAAGTTCAGGAGACATTTTTGATTGTCACAACGTGAGTAGGGGCGGAGGTAGGCATTGTTACTAGTATCTGGCACCTGTTAGGCCTATGGGAAGGATTCGGCTAAGCAACAATGCAGAGGACAATCTCCCACTACACGGAATTATCTGTCCCCAAATGTCATAGTGCTGAGGTTGAGGAACACTAGGCTGGTGTTCTACTTCATTGCCACATCCAGTATGCGGTGGTAAGGTGTAAGGACAAAGGGACTTTTCAAGGTAGGTGAGCTTGAGATGTTACTCTTGGTTCCCTTCTATCTGCTCATACATAAAATTATTCCACATTAAGAAAACCATTGAACTTTGTGAGCAGCACAATACGATTCACAGTCAGTGACAAGAGCTGAGCCCCATGCTCAAAAGATGAATTCTCGGCCGGACGCGGTGGCTCACGCCTGTAATCCCAGCACTTTGGGAGGCCGAGGTGGGCGGATCACGAGGTCAGGAGATCGAGACCATCCTGGCTAATACAGTGAAACCCCGTCTCTACTAAAAATACAAAAAATTAGCCAGGCGTGGTGGCGGGTGCCTGTAGTCCCAGCTACTCAGGAGGCTGAGGCAGGAGAATGGCGTGAACCTGGGAGGCGCAGCTTGCAGTGAGCCGAGATCGCGCCACTGTGCTCCAGCCTGGGTGACAGAGCAAGACTCTGTCTCAAACAAACAAACAAACAAAGATGAATTCTCTCATTCAACAAAGTTTGAATGTCTTCTCAATAAATACCTGACATTGTTCTAGACACTAAGGGTACAGTATTATGTAAACCTGCCACATTTCGTGGCGAGATTACAGGGACCGAGTACAGGTATGGGGCCACAATTCTATAGAGGGTCTTCAGGGATGTTCTATCTGAAAAGGTGACGTGTATAGAGGTCCAAGGAGAAGCAACAGCAAATATAAGGTTCCTGAGCAGAGGTGTGCTTGCTATGCTAGAGTAACAACCAGGAGGCCAGTGTGAATGGAGACGAGTAAGTTAGAGGCAGGGTGGCTGAAAAGCTTGCTTATTGGTGAAATCATTAAGATATTGTGGGCTATTTTGAGAACCTGAGCTATTTAATAAGTAACATGGAAAGCAATGAAGGGTTGTGAGTGTTGAATTAACGTTATCTAATTTATACTTTTAAAAGAAATTTAACTTTATTTTAAATTGACATATAATAATTATGTATATTTACGGTGTACAATGTGATGTTTTGATTTACATATATAGTAGAGAAAAACTCAAATTAACATATTCTATGACCTCACCAATTTATCTTTTTTAATGGGGTGAAAATGTTAACAATCTATTCTTTTAACAATTTGGAGATATACATTATTACTAATGGCAGTCACTATGCGGGGCAAGAGATCAGCCAAACCTATTCCCCCAGTCTAGCTGAATCTTTGTAACCTTTGATTAATATCTTCTCTTTGCCCATCCTTTCCTCTCTCTCTGCAGGCCTCTGGTGACCACCTTTCTCCTCTCTAGGTCTGTGAGATCCGCTGATTCCTTTGCCTAAGGTTCTAAAGGAGATTGCAACAGGAGGATAGAGAGAGGTCAGATCTGGACCAGGGTGGTAATAAAAGATAAAAATCTTCTTGATGAATTCACTAATTTTGTATGAATAAAAGAACAAAGTTGTCATTTCTAAGATGGAAAGACTGAGAAGGATCAGGTTTTAGTTTCATTTTGTTTTATTTTGTTGGAGTGGGGGTCAGAAATTTGGTTTTTAACATATTAAGTTTGGGGAGCTTATTACATGCAAATGAAATTATTGAGTATGCAATTTGCTGAGTTGGGAGCTCAGAAGACAGATCTGGGGTAGAGTTATAAATTAGAGAGTTTTCAGCATAGTAATGGTGTTTACAGCTGTGAAAATGGGTATATCTCATAAGAAAATGATTCTCAAGCTATCTCTGGTGACAAAACAGGATTTTATCCAACCCCTCAAGGTCCGATATTTGATCGCACTGTGCATGGCCAGTGTGTAATCCACAGAAGTGAGTCTGGCATTACCTGAACTGAACAATACCCTGTTTAATGGTACAAGCCCATAGATCACAGTCTTGAATGTTGCCCCAACGTGAAGTTGATAAAAATGTGTTCCAACTCTTGCTCCCAATATCGGTAGATATGTCATTTGAGGACCAGTAAAATCAGCTGGTAGTCCAGAGGCAGTCTGCATGCTCTACTCGAGTAGTTCTGACCAGTCACTGAGTCAGTGTGGTTAGAGAGGAGACAATGACATCATGTGATTTGCTGGGCATGTGTTTCATGACCTTACCACACGTCGGAAAAACCATGTCATCGAGGGCCCATCTCGGGAAACAGAGATTTCATCCTCACTGCCCTGAGGCTGCAATGGCAGCCACATGCTCTCAGCTACTTTATTGGTGGGGATAAGAAAGTGAGGAGCAGCTCATGAGACGGAACATTTACAAGAAAGGGCTCCAGTTAACCAGAAGAGACTAGGTTAACGTTCACTGGCTCGTTTAAACTGTCTCTGGCATTAGTGGAAATGGAAGTTTGCAAGGGAAGTTAGCTTAAATGAAGAGAAAGTGATGAAAGCCACAGGTGGTTGTCCTGCATATGAATTGTGAAAATTTTCATCTGCATACTGTTTTTGCATACCCTTTATACAGTTTCTACATATAAGATTACAATGTGGTGGAAACTTGCCATAACTCTTTTCTTATTATAGCAAAATTCAGTATGAACCAGTTTTGTCCCAAGTGTCATATAAGTTCCAGTTATTTAAGTACTAGAAGAAATGTACGTTACTGTAATATAGCTTCTTTGAAATATGGATGAAGAAACAAAGTATATTTCAAAAGCACTGCATTCTTTAGATTCAGAAGAGGGATTAAAAGTGAGAAATTATGAGTAGTTCAGGAGAGCATATGATGAAAGCCACAATCTCCCCTACACTCACTGCCAGCCACTGCTCCTGAGGAAGATAAAGTAAAAAATGGAGCATATGGCTGAGCACGGTGGCTCACGCCTGTAATCCCAGCACTTTGGGAGGCCGAGACGGGTGGATCACGAGTTTAGGAGATCGACACCATCCTGGCTAACACGGTGAAACCCCGTCTCCACTACAAATACAAAAAAAAAGAAAAATTAGCCGGGCGAGGTGGCAGGCGCCTGTAGTCCCAACTATGCGGGAGGCTGAGGCAGGAGAATGGCGTGAACCCGGGAGGCGGAGCTTGCAGTGAGCCGAGATCGCACCACTGCACTCCAGCCTGGGTGACAGAGCCAGAGACCGTCTCAAAAAAAAAAAAAAAAAAAAAAAGGAGCATATATGCAAGAAAAACTGTAAAGGGCTCAAAGAGCAACAAATATACTCCTTCAAAGTTCACATTAGTAAAAGTAGAAGAATAAACAATACAATTGTTAGCAAAAATAATTTTTTTCAGAGTCCTGATATTTCCCCAGCCATCTAATACAACTGACTTTGTCTTTTAGTTTTTGATATCCAATCCAAGTAAGTACTGATATTTCCTTTGGATTTTAATATACTCATTGCATATTTAAGTTTTTCCTACTGCAAATTCCATAAGGAATCTAGAACAGAGATGAAATTTTAGAAAGTGATTCTGTTTATTTCATCCTCTTTGGCTTTTATTTTGCCGTTTAAGTCAAATTCCATTTTCTAGGACATATATTGCATGTTCCATTATTTAGAACATTGACAAAGTGTAATGCTCTTTAATTCTTTCCCTGTGTATTCATCCATGTATTCATAATATCTGAGAAATTATACAGAAAGCTATTTTAATTGCTTTTGCTAGCTTTTTGATACCAATTATGCATACATACAGATATTTTATTCTTAGCAAACATCTGGAAATAATTTTTGTTTTCTATGGAAATGTAAAACTTCATTGGGCATTATAGCTTTTACTCAGCAGAAACTGTTGAGGCTCGGGTGAATTAAGCACACTAGAGAATTATTTTCTCCATAATATTCCTTTATTTATATTTTGATAAGTAGCTGCTGTTTGCATTAAGTGGATTTTTCTGTTTTTTAGCCTAAGTTTAATATCTTAAAAAATAGCTTTTGTTTTACCTGTGTTGACATCTTAGGTCCAGAGATAAAGAAACATTATTATTATTATTATTATTATTATTACTACTTTAATCAGAATAGCATTGTTGATTTCTATATTTTCTGAAGCATAGTCTTAGAATATAAAATAAAGCAGTATATTATGAGGACAGAGGATTCATTTGTTCATTGAATATTTAACTGATATTTATTACGTGTCCACTAGGGACAGGAATTATGCTAAGCAGTGAATGAATAAGATGGTCTGGATTCCCAAGAGACTCGGTGCAGGTAGAAGAGAGAGCCAAGTGAGCATAGGAGTGTAATGAAATTCAGTAAGTATTCTGCGCTCGGATAGCAATATGAATAGGTAACTCTGTAGACTCCTAATGAGGTTCAGAGAAAGCTGACAGAGGTACTGCCTCATTGGAGTCTGGGGAGAAACACAGGAATTAAGCAGAATGAATCAGGAGGTATGGGACTGGGAGTGGGAGAGGAGTGGATGATGAAGTGGGAATAGAAATAGTGGCAGGAGATGGGACTAGCAAGATAGGCCAGGGCTTGACTGGATAAGGCCCTATCAGCCATTCAAATACATTTAGATTTTATCTTAGAGAGCAGAGCAAGGTTTAGAACAGTTGGGGATGGGGTGAAGCTGTGGAGTGGAGACATGGTTAAGTAAACTGCTTTCCCTCTTGAAAAACTTTCAAATGAATTGACTTGCAGATGGTCAGGACTAGAAGCAGGAAGGCTATTTAGAAAATTATTCGAGTAATTTGAGTTGGATCGTAATAAGGCTTAAACTAAAACAGAAAAATGAATAATGTATTACATTTACTCTAGAGATGTTGTGATGACAGAACTGACAGAATTTGGTGATTGACTATGCTACAGGACAACACTAAAAAATATCCCGATGGCCAGGAAGCTCCTGACAGTATACTTAGGAAATCTCCTCTTTTAGTTTTGAGATACTGTTTAGGCCTTTACTTATCTACTTGTCTATAGCAAGTAGTTAACAACAAGTAGTACTGAAATTATAGCTTGAATTACATAATGGTGAAAAATGAGTAAATACCAAATAAAATATAACTGATTTCCAGCTCGTTGAGGGTAAACTTAAAATAGTCTCAAACTATTGCTTACTTCTAACTTTCCACCTTCAACAATCACTTATAGGGACATCTATCTTTAAGGGATGAGATACTGGTTAATATCCAAAAGCTCCCATAAACAGGGCCACTTGCTCTTATCATAATGCACTGTCACATAGAGCAGTTTGCTAAGCACTTGTTTTGGAGGATGGTTCTGACAAAGATTCCTTGAGATTATCTGCTCCTTAGCTAACTTTGGGTCCTCCAGATGTTGGTGAATGCATATTACTGAGACAATTCTGAGGCAGAGAAAAATTTGAGGACCTGTCCTATCCCTTGGATTTCCTGGTTCTTCTTCCGTGAGCCTATCTATCTGGAATTGGTTTGAGCAGAACTCAACTACTGACTATTCTGCATTCTCTGCCATGACACCAACCTGTTTTATTACAAGTTGTTAGGTAGAAATAAACTGAATTGTTAAAGTGAAATTTAAAACAAAGGGCACAAAATACAGGTTCAATGCATGCAGGGAAAGTGAAAGAGAGAAGAGCCAGGAATGAATCTTGGCTTCTGGCTTATTCAACTAGATGTTCTATTTCTAGAATAAGAAGAGGTTTCGGGGCTCTCACCTGGAATGTGCTGAGGACAGGAATGAATGCGATTTGAGTATGCTGGTTTCAGGACCCCGAAGAAAAGTCCAATAAACTTGTCTTGTTGGCAACTGGGTAAGAAATTCTGGAACTAAGCAAATGGGATTGTAATGGAGATGGAATTTGGGAAGTCAGCAACATGAGATTAAAGCCATGGGCCTAGATAAAATTACTTGAGAATGTGTGGAATAAGAAGAGAAAGCAGATAGTGGATCTATGAGAATACCAACATTCTCTGGAAGAGGGTAATCCACAAACAGGGTGAGAACAACTGGACAAAGACAAAAACTGGAAGAAACTAAAGAGGCTATTTTAAGAAACTGGGAATAAAAGAAAGTTTCCAGTGCCACACAAAGGTTGAATAATTTATGCACTTAAATGGTTTCATTGAATTTAAAACAAGGAGATGACAGGTAAATTTGACAAAAATCACTTTCAGTGGCGTTTGCAATGGGAGGAAGAAGGTAGAGATAGCAATTTTTTTTTTAATGAGAAAAAAAGTGGCAGATCAGACATTATGTTAAAAAGTAGAGAGGGCTGGCCCCTTTTAAGGTCTACACCTGCAAGAGTCAAAGTGTCTTTTTTTTCATTGCATGTACTCAATCGGTTAAACAAGTCACAAATTGAGTATCGGAAGAAACCACACAAAAACATGAAGACTGTGAGGACTCTGTCACTGAGGCCATCTTTGGAGATTAGGTACCACAAAGACAAAAGTTAACATAGTCTTATAGCTGATATTTATTTTTCAATACAGCTTGCGGTTATAATGTGGTAGTTTATACACTCAATTAGATTATTCATACACACACACACACAATAGATGCCATTTCCTTAGGCAGTAAGAAGAGTTTTTTTTTTTATTATTATTATTGTTTTTTTAAATACCAGTTGCACAACTAATTTAAAATAAAGTGGTTGAAACTCTCATTTAACTAGGGAAAGCAAATGTTCAGAAAATTCTGTATTTTGAGAATCCTAATCAATACATATATAGCTTAGATCCTTCCTGAGTGATGTCTTTGCTCCATATTTTTGTGCTCACTAAGAAACCAATTGAAAACAATAAAACTATTTTTAAAATTTTACCTTCCTGGCCAATTCTGTCACAGCAGGTGATCTCTATTTTTTAATTTGTAAATTTCTAAAACTTCAGAAATTATTGTGTATTTATATATTAAAATCCAGAAGATAATTGCAGAATTGACAATAAGTTATATACTGTTTGTAGTTAACTTTGCATATCAATTTTTCCATTATCTTTTCAAAAGATCAAAATAATATACTATGATGTCCATGTATATTATTCTATGATTATTTTAGGAATCATTAAGAGAAGCTTTAACACATTTCTGGAATGCTAGTGAAATGTATATATCACAAACCATTTGTAAACGGCATTCACTGAATTGTTTTTAGATATTAAAAATATATATAAACATTCCTTAATTAAAATTCTAGGGGGATAAATGAGGCATGCTCCAACAATTTTTCTTATCTAATTCCTAAGGAAACACAAAATTATTTTTAAAAAAACACATTAAACTTAGACAAATATATCTCTGATAGTCTTGAAAAAATGAGGCTAACTTAAAAATTTAACTATGGTCAATTGATTCTGCAGAGTGGGTGGTAGGCTATTGACTTTTTAAGATACTGCTCTAGAGAAAAATATCATCACTGATGTGTACTAAGAAAGGGCAGAGACAAATTTGTAAGGGAAAAGTTTAGCTCTCAAAAGGTTTCCACAGCAGAAGTGTTTCCTAAAGGCCAAGAAAAAAAAAAAATCTGCGTACTGAGCAAGAAATCAGTGTATAAAATCCAGTTTCTGTAGGGAAGCTGGATTGCCTGTTGGATTCTACAACGTAGGTCTCGAGCTGGTGGCTTTTGGCCTCCACGAACCATAAAGAGCTTTGTTTGGCCTAGAGTCTTAAAATATTTTAAATTACTGACCAAATCTTAAAATCACAAGTCTTTACACTAGAATTCTGATATCAGGATTTTCCTAAAGCACCAGAATATGCTGGCCTCCAAGTTCAAACATGGCCTACCTTATTGTTGCACTTCAACTGCCTTCTGATATGTGTTGGCATTTGAATTCGAGAACCTCAACTTAAATGTCAGACAAGTTACGTAAAAGTTGAAAACAGGTAAAATAGACACTGAGTAGTATCTCAGTGTAATGATGGGCTTGATTTTCCAATTTCTAGATTATGTTACACCTCTGTGGGGCAGAGAGTAAGAGTGACGTTTTGACTTTTGTCTAGTGAGAGATGCCCTCATAAAATGAGGTTACTTGTGTTCAATATGAAACTAATTTCTGTCCAGGGCAATATGCAGAGAAATACGGTTTCTCTGTCAGACATCATTCAGTTTTGTATGAAATTTCAAAATATTGCCCTTACATTATATATTAAATACTCTTTATCTAAATCCTTAATTGCAATTTAGCCCAGTTTGGTTATCTTAAAATTTCCCTCATTAATTAATAAGTTAAATAAATCATCATTAAAAATATTTTATATTTGCCTAAACATTATAATTTTACTAGTTATAATTTTATTAAAGTAAAATTACTTACTAAAGTAAAATTATATTGTAACAGAAGAAAATAAACTAATTATCAGAATTATTTAAGCAAAAGCTTATATTTTCTTATTGTACTTTGCTTGGGCTTAGTTTCTATTCTATTAGGTCGGTGCAAAAGTAATTGTGGGTTTTGCCATTAAAAATAATGGCAAATTTGCAATTGCTTTTGCACCAACATAATATTTGATATTGCCTGGTTTGTTGATCAGCCAACAAAATTGTATTGATTCTATTTATAAAGACATACAGTATAGCTCTCAACAGTTCAGAGTATAGTGACTGAGAAATATTTAAAAAATAGTTATTATAATGCAAACTGTTAAATGTAGAGGTAGATATTCACAAGATACTACGGGGAACAGAAAAAAAAATGTACACGTGGTTGGGGAATTAGGGAGACTGCCTAGTGGAGATAATAAGGATTAGTAGGCATCACCCAAGTAAAAGAGTTGAAGAGGAAGTCTTTCCTGCAAGACCAGGAATCAGGCATTGCCTAAAAGGGTGTATGCAAGTTTGGAATGGGTTGGGGGTGATAATAAATGAGCCTGTTTTAATTGTTGTATTTATAGCAAAACTAAGATGAGGTTATGCTGGGTATTTAAATCAATCATTCTGGATTCATGTGATTCTGCATCCTATCCCACCACTCTGAAGCTTATTTTGTTTCTCAGATTTAAATTTGTCTGCATTTGACATTTTAGATAATAGTATATCCCAATAAATCACCTTAAATTTAAAAGAAAAATAAAGTTTCTGGAGGAAGGAAAACGATTATCCAAAACTCTTACTTGACTTCTTAAGTATGGTGTACTTAGATTGCCAGTAGTTGAGAAAATGCAATATTTTATAATAATCCTCCACAGAAAGATACTTTAGTAAATCTTAGTACATATGAATAGTTGCAACCACTCATGTGAAAATGAGAATTTATGCCGTCGGGGACTGAAGCTCAAAATAGCTTTATTCAGGTACTTTGAGACAATGACATAATGAGTTAACTTTGGAGATATGACCATTTGAGGGTCTCCCATTGCATCTCACATTTCAAAAGAGAAACTCCTTTTTCGGAGAAGTTATGTGTCCATGGTGCCATGTAATTGTCTAAGAGCCATCAGTAAGCTAGCAATACTTTTATGTATTTCCACGTGATTATATCCCATAGATGTACCCCATAAATATGAACAATTATTACATACTAACAAAAATATCAAAAATGGCTCTAAATTAATTTATATGGTGTTTCAATGTTATGTTTTTACAACTACAGATACACATAATTTGATTATGAGATTTTATTGTACTCACACACATATAGCTAATTACATCCTAATCCATTATTTGTAACTGTATATCCTGTGTGAATTTCATGATTAAATTTAGTTTTATTTGGAAGGCTTTGCAATGCAAGGAAATAGGAAAAAAGAAAGAGAGAAAGAGAGAGAAAGGAAGGGAGGGAGGGAAGGACGGAGGAAGGAAGGAGGGCGGGAGGGAAGGAAGGAAGGAAGGAAAGAAGGAAGGGGAAGGAAGTAAGAATAAGGAAGGAAAGAAAAAAGGAAGGAAGGAAAAGGAAGGAAGGAAGGGAAGGATGTAGGAAGGGAGGGAAAGAAGGCTGGAAGGGGATTAAAACACCTAGATAAGATAAAGACACATTAATCTTAAGCTAAACGTACAGGTTTAGAATAATTTTTTCTTTCATTATAGCATAAGAAATACTGCAGTACAAGAAGGAAAAACTGTCCCTGTAGATGGGATCCCATGCATAATATAAATGCTAAATAATTATCTTACAGCAGTTTCAAATGGTTGGGAGAATGTAGTAACCTAAGCAAAGAGTACTTGCTTATGAAGGCCAGCATTGAGGCTGACAATTTCCATAGTGTTTTCAAAAAGTTTTTCAGAATTCTCAACCACTCAATTATTAAATATTCTTCAGTCAAGGTCGGCCATCAGCAAACACTGTTCATTCATATTTATTGGATATCGATTGTATGGTAGCTGATGGGAATGTAAAGTTAACCTACATGAAACACCAGTTTTCTTCAAAGAATTAGAAAAGTAAATTAAATATTAAAGAACATTTTACACTATCTGTTCTTACAGAGGTATGTACAAGTTAATAAAAAAATGCAGACCAAAAGGCAAAAGCACCCAACAAAAGAGATACACAGGTCAAGGAAATTGTTTAAAGTTATCACTTTAAATTGAATTATTTTTCATGGCGAACCACAGGGGCAGCAGCATTTCAAGCTTAGGAATTCATGTACAAAAGATTGAAGCATAAGAAAACAACTAGTTAAAACAAGAGAAAACCAAAACAAAACAAAAACAAGAAAAACAAAACAACAACAAAAAACACACAGAGTTTTAAAAATGCTGAAGCAAAGAGTGCCAGATGAAGAGGAGCAAAAGATTAATTTGGAAATATAAGCCACAGATTTCGAAGGGTATTGTTTCCCATATAAAGGAATTTGGCCCTTATTCTGTATACTAACCTGGGTTAAGAAACAATTTCCTAAAACACTGAAATATTTCTAAGGCATTACTATGTCATTGGAAACATAGGAGACAGAGAATATATTGTTTCCTTTACGCCCTTTCCAGTAAACAGTATAAGTATTTGGAAGAAATTGTCCAAAAGTTGCTTGGTGTATGGTAGGAAATGGCCAGGAAATGGCAGGTGTGTTATAAGTGAAGGACAACAGGTGGCTCGACACCTCTGCAGTGAGCAACCAGTGGTCCTTTCACAGTTTCTATAGGCAGTATCCACTGTCTTCTCTAAATAACTAATTAACAAATATTTCAAGAACATAGTCTTAAAGGATAGCCAGAATATTACTCTCCTAGGTTTTTACATAGCTCGGTTTGTACCCATCTTCCACAAGAGGCAGGATGTCATCTTTGACATCTTCTTACTTCTTCTATTGAAACTTCTTCCTCTAAAGTCACCCATTTGTTAACTGATGTGCGCTTAGTGGATTATTCCTCAACCCATAGACACACATATAATTGCTGAAGGTGGCAACATCAGTGGGTAGGAAAAATGGCTGGATTCCTTGAAGACTATCCTAAAGAGACAGGCAGTATGGCTGATTATGGTAGCTTTCTATCCAGTCTTCAAATATTCAGCTATCATTCACCAAACTTCTTGCAGGACCGGAAGCTAGAACAGATGAATAGTCAGTCATCTATTCTACCCACTTAGAATATCTTTTTCTTAACCTGTACATGCTTCTGCTCCAGGAGAGAAAATGCATTTCCCTCCTGAGGGAAAAACAAAATATTTCTCTCTCTCTCCATATATATATATGTATGTATATATATACACACACACATATATACATACACACACATATGTATATATACATATATGTATATATGTAATAAATGATCTCTATATAGAGATATATGATAGATTTATCTTAAAATATCTATTTACCTATATATATTTAATCACTGCATTTTATAACTCTCTTCAGCACGATAAATTCTTTTCAGAAGGAATCTGTCAAAGGTATAAAATTTAAAACTCAAAATTAAACTGAAATTATGCTTTGATCGTGACTAGGAAAAAATGAAATAGCTCATTATATACTGGTTTTAGGTAGAAAGAACAAAAGGGGCAAAATGCCTTCTTTCTTCTGACACAGAAATAGATAACAATGCAAGAGATATAAAATAAATGCATTTGTTAACTGTATGCATATCAGACCACAAAAGTCCATATGTATAAAACATCTTTACAAACAATATATATTTTTTCCTACCAATTACTGTCACTATTATTTATCATGGCTTTTCCTATGAATTTATATATGTTTACAAAAACATGAGTTGTCTCTGCATATAGAGATTTAAATATCAAGTTGGAGTCCTCAAGAAGATTACGATCAGAAGTTTATACCTATCTGGAATAATTTTGCAAACATTCACTTATTGAGTAACATTGAATCATTTGAATGTAAAAAATAAATCATTAAAGAACTGATATAGTATAATTTTTTTCTTTGAGATAGTGTCTCACTCTGTCACCCAGACTGGAGTGCAGTGGTGCAGTCTCAGTTCACTGCAACCTCTGCCTCCCAGGTTCAAGTGATTCTCATGCATCAGCCTCCCAAGTAGCTGGGATTACAGGCATGTGCCACCACGCCCAGCTAAGATATAATTCTTGGCTTCCTGTAGGGCAAGAAATTTGATGCATGTTGGCTAAATATTTGAAGACTAGATAGGCAGTCACCATAACCGATTATACTTCCTTGTCTCTTATCTCTTGACTTGAGATAAAAATAACATTATCATAATAAATTAAGATGGCTACAAATTCTATGGCTCTCTTCTCATTGAGAGGAGAAGTCTGTCTCTGCCTCTTAAAACTGAGCTGGCTTTGTGGCTGCTTCAACCAATGGAATGATTGGAATGTGACAGGTTACCAGTTTCTTGGCTCTGGACCTAAAAGATTGGCTGCATTCACTTCCTGTGTCATGGAAAATTCATACTTGGGATCAGGCACTGTGCTGTCAAAGTCTCAGTAACCTATGGAAATGCCCACATGAGGAGAAAGTAAGGCCCCAGATGAGCTCTCAGCTGATAACAGCATCAACTTGCCAGCCATTGAGTGGGCCGTCTTGGAAGAAGTTCCTTCAATCTAAGCTGAGCCATTTCAGCTGATGGCACACAAAGCACAAATGAACTGCTGCCACCAACTCTACCCAAGTTGTAAATTCATGAGTAAAATAAATATTGCTGCTGTTGTTTAAAGCTACTAAGTTTTTCAGTGGTTCATGATACAGCAATAGATAACCAGTAATTTTATGTTGGCCAAAACATTAATAGGTGGGAAGAGGTGCCAATGAGTAGTAGAATGTGTATGAGGTTCATGTAAAATGATATCACAAACATTGTCAGAAATACAAAAGTTATAACAAGAATAAAAAAATGGATACCATTTCTTGTGCCAACTTCATAGGTAAATTGTAGTTTCTTAGAGTGCTGTGTTGACGAGGCCTGCTATGCCAGCTGGTGACAGTGGGAGCTGACACTGATTGATTACCACCACGTATTTGTCATTAACAACCTTGAGACATTTGCCCATTTTTGCTGTTGTTATGTTCATGTTAGAAGATCCTTCATAATGTCATATTATTGTAAAAAATCATTCACCAGAAAATAAGAACAAAAACTGTTCATATTCATTCAGGTACTTGGGACTGCCAAAAAAATACACAGAGCTGATATTTCATGTATGCCTGTAATTTCTGTGTAATTTATCTTTTGCATAACTTCTGACTTTTTTCACCTAAAACATTACATATTTTCAGCTAACATACTGGGTAAAACATCGTGCAAATTTGTCTTTTATTTTTATTTAATTTTCATAATTTCAACTTTTACATTCGGGGGTATACGTGCAGATGTGTTGCATGGGTATATTGTGTGACACTGAAGTTGGGGGTACAAATGATCCTATCACCCAGATAGTGATCACAGTACCCAATAAGTAGTTTTTTAGGCTTGAACCCATTCCTGTCTCCTCCACTTAGTAGTCCACAGTGTCTAGCTATTATTCCCTTCTTTATGTTGAAGTGTACCCAATGCTTAGCTCTCACGTATAAATGATAGTGTATGGTATTTAGTTTTCTGTTCCAGCATTAATTCACTTAGGATAATGGCCTCTAGCTGCATCCATGTTGCTGCAAGGAACATAATTTTGTTTATTTTTTGTGGCTGCATAGTATTCTATGAGATATATATGTATGTATCACATTTTCATTATCCAATCCACCATTGATGGGCACCTGGGTTGATTCCATATCTTTGCTATTGTGATAGTGCTGTGATAAGCACACCAGTTCATGTGTCTTTTTGGTAGAATGATTTATTTTCCTTTGGGTATATACCCAGAAATGGGATTGCTGGGTAATCTGTCTTTTAATTCCAGGGCTAATATCAAGTAATGATGTATGATCATAGTTACACAGGCTGATGTAAACCACAGTTAAACTGGTTCACTCATGTTGGAAACAAAGCCATTGTCATTTTCAAAATGTTTAAAAGCCTAAAGAAAATTTGCATTTACTTGTATAATGACTGATGTAAATACCAAGATACATTTATTTTGATTAGGTTTATTTAACTTATTTTTAATAACTTGTTTTTTAGCTCATGATCATCAAAAATGATGATGAGAAGCTATACATGCTTGATTAGCAAAAGTGGAAAATAAATTATAACTCAACAGATGTGGTTTGTTTGATAGACAAATATTTCAAAACATGGCATCTCTGGTTGAAATACACAATATAATCAGTAGCTGACAGGAAAATTTTAAAAAGTGGTGCCATGTCTATGTTGAAAAGCTGGCTGGAAATGAAGGCTGAAACCTGATCTGGATTCTCCATCTGGTCTACTTTTAAAAATCTGTGGGTCCTTGGGCAAAGCACTTCACAACTCTGCTTATTTTCTCACTTGTGGTCAGGACAGCGATACCAGCTTCAACTGACTACTTTGAAGAGAGTGAAATAAAATAACATTCTACATAAAATACTGTCGAGATCTGAAGATAGCCTATGAGTGTGTCGTGGTAGAAGACAAAATCAGGGCATATCTTTAATACATTTTCCCACTTTTTAAATATGAAGGACCTTGGGACACAGGTGGCATTTTCATCTTTGCTTCCAATGAAAGTTGGAAATTTGGAAGATAAGGGATGCTGTGGAGCTTGGATCTCTGTCTCAGTTGCTGGCTGGCAGCACATAATGTGATTTGGCTTTCTGTACCATGAATATACCCAAGTGATAGACGCTTGGCTAGGGCACCTGAGAGCTCCTAATGAGGACGAGAAAGAAAATGCCTGCCTGGAGAATTTCCAATCTCATCAATAATACTCAAATCTAAATTAGAATCGGAGTGAGAAAAAAGTCCTAGATAAAATTATAAAACAGGATACCAAGAAAGACATGGGGATTGATGAAGAAAGTATGATCAAGACAGACATGCCTGGTAATTTATATGATAATATAATAGGAAGGAGCTTCAGAAAACTTTCTGTGTTCTCCGTAGTCTATACACTAGGAATAAGTGATGAAGAACAAGGTATTGTAATTTTAACAAGAAGATGTAAAAGTAAAATTTTAGATATGATCAAGATTCAGTGGTTTCGATTCAACTAAAAAACAATAATGGAAATGTACATTTTATTTAAAATAAGAAGACCATGCAGAATAAAATAGTAAATTAAAGCAAATTACAGCTCATTTTTAATATAGAGGTTTAAGTCATATCACAATACAGCTTAGTATTGGGAAGACACGTCTATGAATCTCACTGTTTACAGATGAATGACTTGCATCTGAGAGTTAAGGAGACTTACCCAAGACCACAAATTTAATAAACAGTAGAGTTTAAATTTACACTTGGCCTCCGTCCTGAAGTCTATTGCTGTATTCTACCATATTTCTGGAGTTTCTCTGTATCAAAGAAGATTTACACATATTTTAGATTCAATGACCCTAGGAAGAAATATCTAAATATATATAAGAAAGCTATACTTATAACATTTTTTGAAAAACAGAAAAAGCAACTAATTAAAACTTTTTTAAAAACTGCTTTATTGAGGTATAATTAATATAGAAAAAGCTGTACACATTTAATGTAAACAATGCAATGAGTTTAGGGATAAGTGTGCTGGTGAAACCATCATCACCATCAAGGCAATAAACATATCTATCAGTTCCCAATGTTTCCTCCCACTCTATTATTTTCTGTGTGTGCATGTGTGTATCTGTGTGTCTCTGTGGTTAAGAACTATCTACTTAGGAAATTGTAATATGCAACGTAGTATCATTAGCTATAGGCACTGTGCTTGATACTAGCTCTCCAGGACTTATTTACCTTGCATAACTGAGATGTTGCCCCCTTTGACCATCATATCCCCATTTCCCCTTCCCCTTATCCCCTGGCAACCACTCTTCTACTCTCTGTGAGTTTTACTATTTTTAACCCACATGTAGGTAACATCATATAGTGTTTGTCTTTCTGTGTCTGGTTTATTTTACTGAACATAATGTCCTCCAGATCATCTATGTTGTCTCAAGTGACAGGATTTCCTTGTTTTTTAAAGCTGAATAATATTTCAGTGTATGTATATACTATATAATCTGGACCAAATTCTTATCAAGATGAAAAAAAAATGGGTAGGCAGAATAGAAGTGAAAAAGGTCCTAGGAAATGGTGGTCTTGATTATTTCAATTTAATGATAACTAAAAAGGAAAGCATTAGAATATAGTTAAATTTAAATTTTTGATAAGGAAAAACACATGATGTGGAAGTTACCTTACATATGAAATGATAGAGTAAAATACAATTGTTACCAATATATCAATAAAAGGTAAATGAAAGTTAATTAACAAGTGATAGAAAGTAAGGTAAAATTAATTTGTTAGCCATATATGTATAAAATATTCTGGAGAGAAAAAAATAGAAACGTTATAAAATTGAGAAAATTTCCACACGAGTTCTACTATTCAGATATCATCAGGTTCTGCCCAAAATAAAACCAAAGTATATTTAATGAAGGTTAAATAAAATGATACCATGTTGTAAATAACATTGTTTAAAGAAATATTATATAATTTTCAAAGATTTGGAACTCTGTTTGAGTAAGAAGAGGGAAAAAAACACAAAAACCTGGTCCTTGAGGCTAATGATCTAATGTCAATGGATGATAGATTAATTCATTGGCTAGATTTTCTAAGTAAATAAATTTTGGACTTAAATACTTGGTAGTCAGAGCTAAAAATCAAGGTTATCAAAGATAACATAAACATATACAGAACAACCCTAAGTCAGTTTATATCTCTAAGACTAAAAGTGGACACCCTAACATAAGAAAAGAACTTAGATAAATTCTTTTTGACTAATTGTAGGTTATACAAGAAATGCTAGGGTGGTCAAGGAAATGACCTGTGAAGTGTACATCTGTGAATACAATCTCATCTAGAATAAAATGCTAAATTTGCATTAACACCTTAGAAAAAAAGCATATCAGGAAGCCAGCCTGAGTTTATTAAGGCCAGACTCAACTTAATTCTTTTGTTTGTTTTGACAAGGCAATTAGAGAAAATACAGGGGAATATAGACCGTATGCCTGGATTTCAACAAAATTTCTTACTGAAAGAAATTTTAGAAAAAAAATACAGAAAAATAAATGGTAATGTGAAAGAAAAACTGATTCAATGGCTTTACTCATACTTATTAATAATGAAGGTCAGGCTGCAGGATATTAATGTAAAATAATTACAATTAAATGAGATAAATAAAAACCATGTACTTATGACATCAGGTGATCCGCTGCCTCGGCCTCCCAAAGTGCTAGGATTACAGGAGTTGGAGACCAGCCTGGCCAACATGGAGAAACCTGTCTCTATTAAAAATACAAAAAAACAAAACAAAACAAAACATAAAACAGAATCAGTTGGGTGTGGTGGTGGGCGCCCGTAATCCCAGCTACTCGGGAGGCTGAGGCAGGAGAATTGTCTGAACTGGGGAGGCGAGTTTGCAGTGAGCCAAGATCGCGCCATTGTACTCCAGCCTGGGCCACAAGAGCAAAACTCCACTGTCGCAAACAAACAAACAAACAAAAAAACTATGTAGATATCTAGATATCTGAGATAGAAAAAAATGAAGATTTTTATGAATACTTAGTCTGATGGATAGAAGAGTAAATAAGGAGACTGGGGAATGGAGAGAAGCATGAGGGGATACAGACACACCATAAAGGAGTTAAGGGTTTTTACATGGCAGAAATATTAGGTCTATTTCCTATGATCCACTGAGCAGCAGGGCAGACGTCACTCACTGGCAAATTACAGGAATTTAGCAAAAGTTTTCCAGCAAGAAGAGTTGCTTGAAAATGATGAGTTTATAACACTTGTGTTAGTCAAGCAAATACAGAAAAATCCATTTCGTGTTCACGCATAAAGAGAATTCACTCATGACATAGGAGGCTATACTAGATAAACTTATTCCATGTGATGATTGTACAATTTTGGTACTGAGGAACACGTTGGTATGAAAATTTCCTGATGATTTTAAGCAGATTCCTACTTGGCACACTAAGCATACAGAATACTAATGTTACAAAATTTGAAATGCCTAAAAAGAAAAAGATGTGATCATCAATTAACATTTTTAAAGAGAGATTGGTAGAATATTAGATTAAGAAACAGAAAAAAACATACAGTCCAGGCAGTCCCAATAGCCTCCCATGTTATTCTTTCCATGGATCTGTGAGGCAAAGATTAGTAGTCTTATTGAATATACCAGGGCACAAATGTGAATCATTGGAGATATCTACCAAAAAGAATTATAGTGCTGCAATTTTTTTCTTTGTCTGTTTTAGAATTAAACATTAAAAACAATAAAAGAATGTAGGAGGGCAAATTTTGGCAGCTTTGAAAGTGAGATTGGTGCTATCTTGGTATAAAGATATTTCTTTCTTTTTTTTTTTTAAGAAAACTGAACAAAAAATTGATAGCATAAGGGAAAACCTTAGAGTCAGAAAAATCCTGACAAATTAAGAAAGTAATTACCAAAATAAAACACATGAAAAAACATTCCTCCAGCTCTAGGCTTCAGATGCTCTTTTAAAATCAGTTTTGATTGCAGGGTTGAGGGGTGAATAAACCTTCAAATTTTTATAAAAGCAGCCAGAGAAACAATTGGGTTAACTTTACAAGGAATCGTTTTAGAGTAATTTGTACTAGAATTAGTCTATTCTTGAAATCTTAAAAATGTAAAGGGAAAGCACATACACACACACACACACACACACACACACACACACACACACACACACCGACTTACATATATTCAGAGTTAAAGAGCATAATGAAACACGACAAGTTCTATCCTGTGCAAAATACACTCACATATTATTGAAATGCTTAGTTTACAATTCATGCTGAAAAGAATCTTTGACTTCAAGTGATAAGTCAGTTGTTAAAATACTGGCAGAGCACACTCCAAGACAATACGGTAATTGAAAACATGACAAATAGAATCACTTAAGTTTTCTTATTGGCTCGTTTCAATCCATGTCCAACTAATTGCTTTCCTTGCAAAAAGAAGTTCTGAAGACAATAAAAATAATTGCTGAAACTTTCTCTGTAAGATTAAAATCTTAAATAATTAAAGATATCCATTTATATTAACTATAATTATCATGTATTGCTCTTGCTTTTTTAAGGACAAACTAGAGGAAGTGGCAGAATTCAAACAATGCCAACGTGTGTGCATTTTTACATCAGCTATATAAGAGCTTGTTTTGCCAAATTTCCTAACACTGTTTAAATCCCAGGAAATGCCTCAAAGTTAATTACCCATGTGACATTCCCCTATATTATTATTTACATTAGACTACTGGATCCCTGGTATTCTCGTTTCTTGCCACTAACTTGTTAATAATTCATTTTTTAAAAATTTTCTTATGCAAAAAATAAAAGATTTATTTGATGTAAGCTGCAGGTTTTTTATTTTATTGGAATCAACAATGTAAATATCCAAAGACGTTAAGAGTAACTTAACATTTCGGAAGCAAATTATAATTTCATTTTATTTACATTGTTTCTATGTCCTCTGAAAATAGTTTTCCAAGAAACCACACAACTAGTTGGCTAAACATAAGTAGTTAACATAACTCATCTAACATGTAAACATATTTTTCCATGAAATTTTTAGTTTGGGGGTCTGGGAGATACACATGCATTTAAAAAATTTCATTAGACCACCATTGATTATAAACTCTTGAACTTATCAAATGCAGTGATTAGGCTTGTAGAGACTTACCTTTAAAGGCATATATGACATTGAGAGCTGTAAAAATTTTTAAGGGAGCTAGAAAAGCAAATTATAATTTTGTCTACAAGTTTTTAGAATGATAATAATTATTGTACTTTTTATTTTGAGTAGCAGCCTATCATTTACAAAGTAATTTACTCTCTACTTCCCCTCCCTTCCTTGACTAATTTTGCTTGACTAATTCCTGCTCATCAGCATTTTGGCCCCAGTTAGACATGGGCTTTCTCCTCGAAGTCTTCTGTTGCACTCTACTTATGCTCCAGTGGGCCCTCCAGCCCCATCCTGTAGTGCAATGTCCTATTCATCACCTGAATGTAAATCCCATATGTATGGGACCTCATCTACCTCAAGGAACATTGTACTCTCCATGCTTAGAACAGCATCTAACCCATAGCTGATACTCAATACATACTGAGTAGGAAACATCTCACTCAGTTCTTAAGATGGCACTGGGAGGTTTCGAGATGCCCAAGAAGAGAAGGAGCTGTATAGTAGTAACAGCCAAAATAGGGACCACTCTTTCCACTATTCCATTGCTACCTGTCAAATTTATTCTTCCTCCAATTTTAGCTGCAATGTACCTGCAAATAAATAATATGCAAGAAAAGAAGCACAGTTGAACCTCACACACAAATTTGAACTGTGCAGGTCCACTTATATGCAAATTTTTTTCAACCAAACGTGGGGATCAAAAATACAGTATTTTCTGGATCCAAAACCCACATATCAGGAGCACCAACTTTTCATATACCTGGATTTCACAGAGCTAACTGCAGGTCTTGAATATTTGGGTTTTGGTATAGGCAGACGGTCCTGGAACCCATCCCCTGCATATACCCAGGGACAATTATATTACGGAGTTTGTTACTGGTAAAATAATAGTTAGAAATCAGATGAACTTTTCTATTGAAAATGCCCTATTTACATGCTTAAAATTCATTGAACATCAATAGTAACCAAGATAGGTCATAAACTATGGCTTCTTCCAAAAAAACTAATAAATGACACTTCAAACATAATATGATTATTTTATATATTAGCAGAAAGTGGAACAACTTACATTAACATTCTCTTTGATGTTAAAAAAACAGCTTGAAATTATTCTAAATAATCTATAAGATGATTTTGGAGAAATTGGAGAAACTAATTTTTTATACTAAAATAGTGTTTTGATCAATTGTTTAGAGCCATTATTTTTAAACATTCTGTCCTGATGTTCTTAACTCTTTAGTACATTTATTATAACCTAACAAGATGGCATTTCACAAATGATAATGTGTGTGTATTGGCTGTATGTACTTATGCATTTGAAAGGAATGGAGCAGAGACAGAAACACTTAAATTTGCTGAGTTCTCGCAAAATCTTCTCTTCGTTGTCCTAAATTTCTAAGCTAAAGTTTATTTGGTTCTTATGAGAATATTCCAATGAAAATAAAAACTGTTTTCTTTTAAATATGCATGTGCACACACATGTGTAAATCTTCCCTTTAAAACCTCAATAACTGCAAATTTGAACACATAGAAAAAAACGTATTTTTTGAGAATTACTACTAGCAACTAAAGAAAAGAGAAAGGCAATGCAATTATCAGAAGTATGTGCCAGGAGCTTAAATATAATTTTAAAAGTTATCTCTGAAATTATTGGAAACACCTTTATAGGGAATATTGTGAAATAACATTGTAAAGAATAATATGCTGTATTTCAGTTTTGAAATAAATAAAAATTTTGAAAAATACAATGTACAAATGCATATCCATGGCTAAAATAATTCAAGTCCATTAGTTATTTAGAACTATATAAACAACTACATAAAACAAATTTACAGTTACGGTACCTATGTAACACACCAAATAGTTAAAAAGTACATAACCTATTCTGCAAAAAGTGACATTTGTAGTTTGATCAGAATAGGTTTGAATCTGTAAATTGCTTTGGGCAGTGTGGTCATTTTAACAATATTGATTCAATCCATGAACATGGAATATTTTTCCATTTATTTGCATCATCTCTGATTTCTTTCAGCAGTGTTTTATGGTTCTCCTTGTGGAGATTCTTCAGCTCTTTGCTTAGTTGTATTCCTAGATATTTTCTTCTTTTTGTAGCTATTGTAAAAGGTATCGCATTCTTGATTTGGTTCTCAGCCTGAACATTATTTGTGTACAGAAATGCTACTTATTTTTGTACAGCACTAGGAGCTGACCTACCATTCAGCTCAGCAATCCCATTACTGAGTATATTAGTCTGTTCTCACACTGCTATAAAGAACTGCCCAAGACTGGGTAACTTAGGAAAGAGGTTTAATTG